>NC_000010.11:57112792-57264307 GCF_000001405.40 Homo sapiens | reverse complement strand
CAAACCTGTTACTCTACCTACCTCCCTGTGGTGTGTTCATGGGCTGGTTGTGTCCCTAAAACAAGATCGCTGAGTCCTTGAGTGCTGGGCAACTTCATACAGCTCATTTCTTTAGGTCTAGCTCAGATGTTCATAGCGGCAAGTCATTGAACTATCACTCATGGTTCTACTAGGCTCAAACCTTTGTAAAAAAAATCCTTTCTGAAAACAAAACAAATAAGCAAGCAAACAAATACAACTGTCTGGTGATTCCAGTGTGAGTCTGCTTATCCAATTGAGTGTGCTTTCAGTTTACTAGTGGGATTCTGACTGAAACAATTATTTTCTTGATTTCCATCATAGCATGATGATAACATGAAATAAATTTTTAATTTATTGGTTTACAATTTACTGTGCTCTGCCCACTGGAATATAAACTCGATAAGGGCAAAGAAAGTCCCTATTTTGTTCATTTCCATTTTTATTAGTTTCTAAAATAATGTTTAGTATGAAGCAAAGCAGGCACCAAATAAATATTTTTGAATAAATAACTTATGAACTAAAATAAGAGAAGATAATTATTAGTATGTTAGCATACAAAGAATATAAATTGAAGAATTGAGGTTAATATTAAAGCTGTTAGTATATCCAGCAAATTTTATCTTCTTCGAAAATTTTAGTGTGGAAGGATAGTCTATTGACTCCAGATCTATACAAATCTTCACAATGTTGGAGATAAATTTACTAATGTAGAAAACAAAACCAGATGTTTAAACTTTTGTAATGCCAAAGCAGTAAGTGGCTTAAAAGAAATTTAAAGTTTTAGCAGAAAATTTGAATTGTATGCAGATGTTCAGCATTGTACAAGCCTATAATTTAATCATATGTGATTGCTAGCCAACTCTTCTATTCTGTTCTCATACTAGCTAAGGTAATAGGTAACACTTAGCCACTAATTCTTTAATCCAATTGACTGGGGTACTTATGGCAGAAGAATAAAGCAAACAGATGCTCACATACATAGTTTCTGCTTATCAGGAAGGAGATTTGTTGCAAAGATTGAGATAATAAGTGACTAAAGAACACAGATACGTTCAGTGAGAAGATGTACTGAGTCTTCATATTTTAAATCTTTTTGTGTGTGTTACTAGAGTGAAACTTTTCTGACAAGTGGTATATTTTCTATACTTTGACTGACAACCTAATCTCTAGGGAGAACTGAGCATTTCAGTGGATCAAAGACATGTCTTTTACACTCACTGGCTGCTGAGCCCAAAACAGAAAAGACGCTGCCACAGGGAGATAGTGCAGAAGCCACGGTGAGGAAGTTGGAGATAAAAGCACAAAGCCTTGTTATGACATTTTTGGAATCAGTTCCTCATTGTTGACCTTTATGAATAAAAGTCTTCCATGCTGAATGAGATTAAAATCTCATATCTTGAATCCTAAGTATTGAATTCCATTGAACCAGCATCTCTTCATTTCAATACAATCATTACTATGTGTCTTCATTTAAACATAAAAACATTTAAGTGGTGCTTCACATTTTTAAGTAAGAAAAAATTATTACTACACAAAATCTATTGTTTTAAATGAATATTTATTGGCATAGAGTCTCTTGATATTTTTTCACCAAGAAAAATACACTATGAAATAATAAGAGTGTAATATATATTCTATATACATGGAATACACATTTAATTATACACACATACCTACAAATAAAGGTGCTCAAGAAATAATTACTTTAAGGTTATAAGATTATAGATATTTTAATTTTTTACTATTTATTCATCCATAATCTCTATTTTTCCTGCTATATTTTCATATATTATATATAATACTACATATTATACATTACATGATATAAATTACATGGCTTATGTTATACAATGCATTTTATATTATATATTATATGTAATAACAAAAACGTGATTATAATTTTTAAAAATGCTCACGAATATGGACTAGACTTGTAGACATTAGTAAAATAATTTTTACTTGGTAAAGTTGAGCAGCAAAAACCTAAAAGCAATCTTCAGGAAGCAATCTTTAGTCACTTGTTTGTCTCTGTACAGAGGCCTAAAATAGGACAGTCTCAAAAGGTACATACAACATGTTTGTTAAATAAATAAACTAAGATAGAATTCACAAATAACTTGCCAGTTTTGAAGAAGATAATTGATGAAACAGCAATAGAATTGAAGTGTACCTGCAGTAGAATTGTAGATGAGAGAAAAGGTATAAGGGATAGAAATAACATGTTTGGCACGAAGGGGTATGCCTTACAGCAGAGAGTTGGAGATAAGTATTTATTATTTGTCAACATGTAGGTATGTTGGTCCTCACACTCTTGCCTTCTGGGTAAGAAAGTCCAGAAATAGTAAAGAAAAGGGAGGAGAGGAAGAACAGAAAATAAACCATGGGAAAGAAACACATACATGGCAGAGAGAGAAATCCTCATAAAAAGACACTTAAAAGGAACTGCATCTGGAGTTGGTTCCTTCACGTGCGTTATTCGTCTTGCTGACTTCAAGAATGAAGCTTCTAACATTCGTGGTGAGTGTTACAGCTCTTAAAGGTGGCATGGACCCAAATAGGGAGCAGCAGCAAGATTTATTTTGAAGAGTGAAAGAACAAAGCTTCCAAAACATGTAAGGGGAACCGAGGGGTTGCCTCTGCTGGCTGGGGTGGCCAGCTTTTATTCCCTTATTTCTCCACCCATATACTGCTGATTGGTCACTTTTACAGAGCACTGATTGGTCCATTTTACAGTGTGCTGATTGGCACATTTTACAGACCTCTAGCTAGCCACAGAGCACTGATTGGTGCGTTTTACAATCCTAGCTACGGAGTGCTGATTGGTGCATTACACAATCATCTTGTAAGACAGAAAAGTTCTCCAAGTCTCCACTCCACCCAGGAAGTCCAGTGGGCTTCACCTCTCAGAATGACTAGGAAAGTAGAAGTTAAGGCAGAGGGCACTGTCACAGTGGCCAGGAAAGAAAGAAGTACAAGTAGAAGAGTTCGGTACATGGTTGAACATGGAACTATGTTGAGATTAGAAAAGACATGTCTGTTGAAGGAAAAAGAGAAATCATGTTTGGCATCTTGAATTTCAGTGATAATCTTAGCTAGAACCTATGCAGTAAACAGGTGAAGAAAAATTCAGATTATATGAGATTTGGAGGTAAATAAAATATGACGGGGAAGAGTATAGACTTCAATTTTAAGAAGCTTGACAACTGAAGGGAATAGTTACAAAGAAACAAAGGAAAACAGGAATTTGAGAATTAGGCAACTTCATTTTATTTTTGAAGCCAAGTAACATTTTAATCATTGGAGACAAAGACATTGAAAATAATGAAACTGTATCATTGATGGCACACGGTTTCTGAGGAAGTAGGATGTTGTTAGTATCTTTAAATTGCAATGGAAATAATTCAACTTAAACTAATTTTTAAAAAAGAAAAGAAGAGAAAATTAAAAAAAAATAAGATCTGCATTGATTCACCATTTCTGACTCTAAAAAGACTTGGTTATTGCTATTTAAGAAAGCTTCCAAAGACTTGGGAGTGACTGCAAAGGAATAGAAGTAAGAGTTGGGTCTAAACTTTAGAACATATTGGGGTGGAATCGCTAAGTCATTTTCACTGTGGTCTAATATTTCAGCCCATAAATTAAAAAATTAAAAACAAAACAACTGCAGTAATCACTAATATGTTATATTTAAACTAGTTGGCAAACTGACTGAGATTCTAAGCCACCAAGTACTTCCTTGCACATTCACTGCTCTATACTCTTCCCAAGATTTTCCGTGTAACTAAAGGGTAAATACTTTATATGAGCTACTACTTTATTTGTTTCTCAATATTTTAAGTATCACCCTCAATTCCACCAAGGCAGAGGGAAAGTGATGGAAGGGCCGTGAATCAGAAACATTAACCACATCAGCAGGAGGAACTGTGACTCACAAAATAATGTACAAGGACTGAGTAAAGCTGAAGTTTAGTTAGTCACCATGAATACAGAACATATAGAAATTTAGAAATCAGAGAGGACAGAGTAAGGCAGATAAAGGGGAGTATAGCACATGAGAAAGAGGCTGCAGATTAGTTGTTGGTTAAAATATTTTACTTTGTATGCATACACACACACGGCTATCTCTCTATATATATATGCTCTCTCTATATATATATATGAAGTCTCTCTCTCTCTCTCTCTCTCTCTCTATATATATATATATATATATGTAATTCTCTCTCTCTCTCTCTCTCTCGATATTTTTCCTGAGGAGATAATTTCATGGGAAAAGGTAAATACACTGAGCAATGGTTTGCAAGATAAAGTGCGATTAGGTGCATAGAGACACATGTAGAAAGTTCATATGAGGTTTTAAAAACAGAATATGAAAGAGGGAGAGAAAAAGTGAGCACACCGGAATGCTCAAAAATGTGGCATTACGAAGCATGTAGTAATGGCACACTGAAGACGTTTTACTTTAAAGTTTTGAAACATCTATCCACAAAGCCTAATTAGCTTTACATTACATTACATTATATTTTTCAGAATGTGTAGGCAAATATTGTCTGCTATCCTCATTTTCCAGTTTCATATAGAAATCTGAGACAACAGGGAAAGTCACACATAAGGACCTGTTAATGAGGTTTTGTGATTGGTTGGACCTGGCCCCTGTGTATAGCTAAACATTTCTCTGTGAGTACAGAAACTGGAAGAGAGACCTACTAACCACTTTTTTTGCCTCTCTAATCCAGATTTACAACATTCTCTTGTGATATTTGTAATCAATATATTTTAAAAAACAAATGTTTACTCAAAGCAAATGTTCAAGATAGCTTTTCTTTTTGAGCTTGAAAATTTACTCTGAAAATTTACAGAATAGGGATTTGCTTGGGAAGAAAATTAAAGAACCAAATATATTATTTTAATTAGGATTATATTAAAATTTAAGAGTTAAAGGAAAGGAAGACTAAGTGGATAGCTTTGATGAGACTATTTTATGATTATTTTGGAATATATGACTAGATAAATCTACATCAACATATATAGAAAAGATATAAAGACAGATAAGGAGTTCTCTGTTTTAGTGTTTCTGAATATGTGTATGTATGGCTGTAGATAGGTAAGTCCTTTAAAGTAATTTTTAAATAGTCATTATCCCATTATCTATAATCATGTGTACTCTTAAGAATGTAAAATTAGTTACAATTTCGTGAGTAGAATTTTCAAATACCTTAAAATTTCGAAGAGTCATTTAACATTTTAATTTGCTACATGACAGCATTGGCAGTGTTTGCATAAACATTGAAATCACTACACTTACTTTTTGAAGAGTCCTTAACAATTTTTTTTAATCACCTGGAATTCAAAGATACTACTAATGAAAGTAACAATATTATAACCTCTCCTACACAGGTTTGTGTTCTTGAGAGCCAACTGGTGACACCTTGATGAAACATAGCACTAATAATTGATTAAAGTGACTTCTTTCCTTGCCCCAGTGCTCGGTGATATGTTACACCTGGCAATATATTATTAAGCCCCATTGTCTTGCTGATGCACTGGGACAGAATGTCACTAACGAATCCTTCCCTGAGTGATATATTTCTCCTTCACAAGTTTGGGAAAATCTTAGAATGCACATTCAAAACCAGTCTATGTGTCTATTTAAAGAATAAAATCAACTTACAAAAATCTTAATATCTCGAAGATTGAAATGTGTATATTATGACTGGAAGCCCAGGCAATTCAAACTCATGAATAATGCATTTTGGGTGCATTGTGCATTTATGAAAAGAGTCTTCCTCCTGAGGAAAGAATCAGAGAGTAAACGGCAGACACACTGAATGATGGCTTACAAAATGAAGTGTGACTATGGGCCTGGAGATTTATGCAAAAAGCTCCTACAAAGTTTTTTTTTTTTTAAGACCACTATAAGGTTATAGAATTACTAAAAAATATATAAATAATAAGCCAAACGGCTGTGGTTTCAAACCCATGTATTTAAATGTCTGACTATCCACATTACAGGAAAAGTAAAGACAAGTGTGTTTCAGAGATCAAAACTTCCTGAGATGAAAAGATGCAGGTAATAGGTAATATTTGTTTGCATGTTACAAAAAAATGGTGTCAAATCTATACTAAAGAACTTGCCAAAAAGTAAACTAAAATGATAACTTAAATTTTCATCCCCGTCAGCCCTCCCAGTCCTTAGAAAAGAAGGTTAGTGACTCATTAAATCTTTTTTTAAATTCAATTTTAGTCATTGAGAGCCACAGGGGAGGATGAAAGGTGTTCCTGTTCCCCAATTCAAATCAGATATTTCCATGAAAACCAGTATATAAATTAGGATTGCCTGCAAAAGATGGGAGAGACGTGACATGCAGAAATGTGAAGCTCAGGGGCTGCCATGAGTAGAGTGAGAGCATATAGGGAGAATTTGACCTATGTGTCCTAGATTTGGTAAGTAAAGAGATTGATGCCTAGTTATTGTTATCGTTTGCAAAACATGAAGGGCCAAGCATGGTTGAAACAGCCCAAAACAGCGAGGAAAGCAGAGAGACCAGCAAAAGGAGTTTCATACATTTCCAGAGACTTGCTGGAACAGCATGTCTATATTTTTCTATGGGTCCAATGGATACTACTGACAGCACTTGAGTTGATAGCTAGGGCTGAGTCTTTTTGAGAGATCACATCCAGTAGTGTTCCTGTGAAGGCTGAGTGATTAATATGAGAACAAAATCAATGTTGTGTGGTGTATTCTTTAAAGACCAGGAGTAGAGGGATGGCCTTGAACAGTTTTCCTGCAGTGGTATTTTCTACATGTAAATGAAATATTGGGCAAGGAAAAAAGAAAGATTGGATGATAGGAAAGACATAGATATTTTTATACCATAGCCATGAGAGAAATAATGAAAATTAATGCAAAGTTAAAATTAGGATTTTCATTGCTATCTCTGTTTTAGGGACAATATTGAAATAGACGTATGAAGGGGTGATGGGGTCATGTTCTAGCATTTTTTATCTGGCATAAAGTTTCAATGCAGGGTGCCAAGTGCATATATTCTTGTGAAATAGAAGGATTTATAAAATTTCTCCTCTTGCTATGCATAGCTATGTACATGAGAAAATAAAATTAAAATTAATTAATTTAATAAAAATGAATACCCAAAACTTATCCCATCTTAAATATCAAAAGCATGCTAAATCCTTTGGCTATGCTAAGGCATAGGTGCAAGGACTCAAAAAGCCAATAATTATTTCGGAGTTTAATAAATAAATTATTTTGCTATTATTATATGTTTTAAAATCAGCTACCAAAACGGCATGGTAATTATATTAAAAATAGGTACATATACCAATAAAACAGAATAGAGAATCCAGAAACAAAGCCAAATACTTACAGCCAACTGATCTTTGACAAAGCAAACAAAAACATAAAGTGGGGAAAGGACATCCTATTCAACAAATGGTGCCGGGATAATTGGCAAGCCACATGTAGAATAATGAAACTGTATCCTCATCTCTCACCTTACACAAAAATCAGCTGAAGATGGATCAAAGACTTACATCTAAGACCTGAAACCATAAAAATTCTAGAAGATAATATTGGAAAAAACCCTTCTAGACACGGGCTTAGGCAAAGACTTCATGATAGAGAACCAAAAGCAAATGCATCAAAACCAAGATGAATAGATGGGACTTAAACTAAAAAGCTTCTTCTTAGCAGAATAAGGAATCAGCAAAGCAAACATATAACCCACAGACTGGGAGAAAAATCTTCTCAATCTATACATCCAACAAAGGACCAATACCCAGAATCTACAAGGAACTCAAATCAGCAAGAAAAACAAACAAACAAACAAACAATCTCATCAAAAATTGAGCTAAGGGCATGAATAGACAATTCTCAAAAGGAGAAAATGGCCAATAAACATATGAAAAAATGCTCAACATCAGTAGTGATCAGGGAAGTGCAAATCAAAATCACAATGCAATACCACCTTACTTGTGTAAGAATGGTCATAATAAAAAAATGAGGAGTATAATAGTTGGTGTGAATGTGGTGAAAAGGGAACACTTTTATGCTGCTGGTCGATTGTAAACTAGTACAACCACTATGTGGAGATCCCTTAAAGAACTAAAAGTAGATCTAGCATTTGATCCAGCAATCACACTACTGGGTATCTACCCAGAGGAAAAAAGTCATTACAGGAAAAAAGTTAGTGGCACACTCATATTTATAGCAACTCAATTCACAAAAATATGGAACCAGCTCAAATGCCCATCAATCAATGAGTGGATAAAGAAAATGTGGCATATATATATATATATTTACATGCCATGGAATATACTTAGCCATATAAAGAAATGGAATAATGGCATTCACAGCAAACTGAATGGAATTGGAGACCATTATTCTAAGTGGGAATAATGGGAAACCAAACATCGTATTTCTCACTTGTAAGTGGGAGCTAAGTTATGAGGACACAAAGGTATAAGAATGATGGCCGGGCGCGGTGGCTCACGCCTGTAATCCCAGCACTTTGGGAGGCCGAGGCGGGTGGATCATGAGGTCAGGAGATCGAGACCATCCTGGCTAACAAGGTGAAACCCCGTCTCTACTAAAAATACAAAAAATTAGCCGGGCGCGGTGGCGGGCGCCTGTAGTCCCAGCTACTCGGGAGGCTGAGGCAGGAGAATGGCGTGAACCCGGGAAGCGGAGCTTGCAGTGAGCCGAGATTGCGCCACTGCAGTCCGCAGTCCGGCCTGGGCAACAGAGCGAGACTCCGTCTCAAAAAAAAAAAAAAAAAAAAAAAAAAAAAAAAAAAAAAAAAAAAAAAGAATGATACAATGGACTTTGAGGACTTGGGGGAAAGGGTGAGGGGGATTGTGGGATGAAAGACTGCACATTGGGTATAGTGTACAGTGCTTGGGAGATGGGTGCACCAAAATCTCGGAAATCACCACTAAAGAACTTATTCATGTAACCATATACCGCCTGTTCCCCAAAAACCTATTGAAATTAAAAAAAGGATACATGCGACTACCATATAACCCCCCAAAACATCAGTTTCACATGAAATAAGTACAAACAGGAATTCAGTAATACACCAATCATCAAAACAAAACAAAACGAAACAAAAAACAAAGGGAATTAATGTTGGAGTCTTTAAAATCGCATTTTTACACATTTTTTAATTTCATATTTTCAAAAGAAGACCTATATGACCATAAACTGCAATAATATTTCATTAAGTGTTCAACATATGGTCAGCTCTCCCTATCCACATTTTCCACCTATGTAGATTCAACCAACTGTGGATGGGAAATATTCAGAAAAAATAAATAAATAAAAAAACAACAAAAATAATTTAAATAAAAACAAGACAGCATAACAAATATTTGCACACCATTTACATTATATTATGTATTATAAGTAATCTAGAAATGATGTAAGTATATGGGAAGGTGTGTGCAGGTTATATTCAAGTTCTATGGCATTTTATATAAGGGACTTGAGCACCTGTGGGTTTTGGTATCAACAGGGTTCCTGGAACCAATCCCCTGTGGATACAGAGGGAAGACTGTATTTCTAAGGTACAAGCAGGTAGAGGAAAAGGAAAAATGTGTGTGTGTGTGTGTATTATTTTCCATTTAAATTAATAGTACAAATAATTTTCAAATATCCAATAAAGGTGAAAGAAGTTTATAGTATGCACCCATATATCTACATGTAACTTTTTACATTTTAATTTATTTTCAATTTACAAATAAAATTGCATATATTTATAATGCACATTATTAAATTTATTATTAACACCACTGTATTTGTTATATATATGTATGTATATATATATACACACACACACAAACGCATATACTTATCATGCTTTTTTAACATATTTTAAAGTAAATTTCAAATATCTATTCTATTAGCCAAAGAACACAACTATAATTTAACCAGTGAGGTTTATTAATGCAACACGGTGAGGGAGACTCACTATGGGAACCCACAGGGCAACTCATAGGATGTTAGAAAGGCCTTATATTAAGTGAATCTGTGTAGCCTTGAAGGAAATTGAGCTTTTCTATGGATTGAATGCTGGCCGGAAGTGAGGAAAATTTCATAACTGAGAATCTTAATAATTTTTATCTAGAAGGCAGGAGGAAATAAGGACAAAGCTGCAGTTGGTAAAGACTCAGTAGTCATCTTAGCTGGGAGAGGGAGGTGTTTGATATTTTCTGATTTAATGATGACCTTGTTTGTCTATGCTCGGATGAGATAATGAAATGGTCTTTTTTGTTTCTTTCTCTCACATCGTCATAGACACATGATGACAGAGTGACTTTGTCTGATGTAGGTGTTTTGAGATATTTATGTTCCACAGGAGGACACTACAATTTAGTTGTGAATGTCAGCCCAGTTTCTAACAACATGGAGACTAATCTTTAGTGTCAGGTCAGTTTCCAGATGTCAGGGGACACTTTTTTCTTTCTCAGTACACATTCCTAAATGTGAAGCTAGTGGTCCAGATACCTCAAGCCAATTTCTAACTGTTGTTTTAATGAAGCAGTGATCAGACTATCAAAGTATGAACCTTCAACAAAGCCACTCAGATTGAGTAAAAGCAATTTGGACCAACCCTGATTTGTTGCATCTATAATGGGAATGCAAAATTAATTAAACAATGGCAGTAATTCAAATGTATCCAATTCTCTATAATTGATTCATTGTGTCCACTGGCATGTGCAACGTGTACCATTTGTGCCTACTTCCTGCATAGCAACACCTCCTATAGAAGGAAATTTGCAGATGAGGAGACATTGTTGTAAGGGTTTTCTAGGGTAAACGAACAAACACACATGTATGTCCTTTTGTTCTCTTGTGAACTTCCACTTTTATTTCACTGCTTCCTCTGTAGACAGCTGTATACAAAAGAGATCCTGCCGTGTGTGACCATCATTGCTAGTTAAAAATCAGAAAGCCATCATTTTCCCTCTGACTTTCAGAAATTACCCGTCTGCCTATTCTCTATAACTGTTGTCTCCTCTGAGATTTTCAAATACCCACTGACTTAAATCAGACATTATATATTATTTTATAAGAATACCACACACAGAAGAACATCTTTTAAAATATCTTAATCTGATTAGTTGTGAAGACACATCTATAAACTGAAATTCATTTTTATCTGATATTTGTGTGGAAAACTGTAAAATCTGACCAAAATTTAGAAATGGCTTGGAATTGTAGATGCAGGGATAGAATTTGTGGAGGGAGAGTGGGAGCATGGAGGTAATATATCAAAAAGAAAATCAAGGGCCACCTTTAGCTGGCCCTGATAAAATGCATGGTTTTTTACATTAAAAGCACTTACAAATATTTAATAAATAAGGTAGTATATTGTTATTAGGCACTTTTCAGTTCTGTTTTGATGCTTGACTTATTTTCAATCTTCTCTTTCTTAATGGTGTAAAATGAGGAACAGGGAATAGGGGTACTCTGATTCCAACATAGAGTAGTTTTTATAGCATGCACTCTGGAACAAGAGACAAATGGGGGTTGATTCCCAAAATTCTGTAGTAACTCGATACCTAGTATTTAGTATCTTTCTTAACATGTTTATAATTTAGTGTCTTCACTTGTGAAATAAGAATGATTTTAGCATCTGTTTTATAGCATTCTTATGAATATTTAATTATATAATTTCTGTAAAGCATATAAAAGAGTACATGGGACATAGAAACACCACGAGTGTGAATTGCATAGTTCAATTGAACCTTGAGAAATTCTTTAATCCATTCTCTTTTTATGAATTGATGGCCAAGGTTGGAGCTAAAAGTGCATAAGCCCTAGTCTTCCTTCTCTTTGTACCAAATAATATAATACTATTTGGAAACCATCTTCCTCCACAAGGTAGCCAGCAACATCCTTTCCCTGAGTTTCTTCTCCTCACACAGAGACATTTCCACTTTTAGCCTGTTCATCAGAAATGCGAAGTACAGAGTATCTTACAGGCTAGATCAGAATTTGCACATGAAGGGAGTTCCCATGTCTCCTATTTTCATAACAAACATAAAGGAAACAAATAAGAATTATTAAACTTTCAGTTGCATTTCTGTACAAATTTGGCTTATTCGTTCTAGACTTCTATCATTATTTAACATTAAATACATCAGCAGTAACATATGGAAGCTCCCCCAGAAATAGGGGTTATTAGTGATTGGAACTTTACCCATTCATAATAGAAAATAAAGATATAAACCAAAGATAGCACCTGTAAACTGTAGACTCATTTGATATCTTCAATGCTGAAGAAAGACTAAAGATGACTATAGCATAACAAAAAAACTATATCAATTTAGAGCCCAAAGACAACATAGAATCCATATAAAATATTTATTAAAATACCTCATACAGTGAGAAAACCCAGAATCACATTAAAAAAAAATCTTTCCCCAAACAAAGCAAGTTGAGAGACCAAAAATGCCCTGACAAATCCAACTTGGCAAGTAGATGAGTTTATTACGTATCATATATGAGAAACTCCTGGATGCTAGCAGGAGGGCTTTAGACATCCCCGCTGCCCCTTGTCTCTAAACTACTTTTATGCTTATTTTCTGGCTCTTTGCCTACTGTGTTTAAACGATGAGACTGGTTTCCTTGGTAGGTTCTCAAACACTTTCTGGGATGTTTAGGTTCTTAGGAACACCTGCTCCTTTGCTGAACCCAATAGCCTTGGCTCACTGCCCAGCCTTCAAGGTTCAGGTGGTGAGCATATTCCTTTGCCTAGCTAGGTGAGGCACTTGTCACACTATACCTCTCTTTCTCATCAGTTGTTGCCTATGTTCTAAGAACAGGGACAATTTATCTTGTATCATGTGAAACTTATCTCTCTATACCCAACATCTATACCCACACACAAATTCCCCTTCCATCTTATAGATGAAAAGAAAAAAAATGGAAAAAAGTTAAAATCCATTGGCATTAAGATTTCTCTATGTGTAGTGGATGATATGGTGTGCCACACACAACCCCCTTTTGGACTAAGCTATACAGTCTCCCACGTTTTGAACATGTTGGCTACTAACAGCCATTCTTTGCTCAGCAATTTGCATTTATAAAAGACAGCTTTTTTTTTAAGTTCATGCTGTCTCCCCAGTAGTAGCTTTCATTCAGTAACTGGTTGATTCAGGGGTACAAACATCTGTTCCCTTTGACACAATGTGGTTTAACTGAACTGTCACACTAGCTTCCATGATCTCTCTGGGAGCCCCTATGGTGTCTGTTACCACTGCATTACAATTCAAATTCTTCCCCCTCGTCCTACCAGCTTCCTCCCCTTAAGATGGCTGTTTCTAAGAGCACTGCCCAATAAACTTCTGTGTCCGGAATTGGTGAGTTCTTGGTCTCACTGACTTGAAGAATGAAGCCACGGACCCTCGTGGTGAGTGTTACAGTTCTTAAAGGCGACGTGTCCGGAGTTTCTTCCTTCTGATATTCGGATGTGTTTGGAGTTTCTTCCTTCTGGTGGGTTCGTGGTCTTGTTGGCTTAGAAGTGAAGCTGCAGACCTTTGTGGTGAGTGTTACAGCTCATAAAGGCAGTGTGGACCCAAAGCATTAGCAATAGCAAGCTTTATTGGAAAGAGTGAAAAAACAAGAATTCCACAGTATGACCAGAAGGTTGCCACTGCTGGTTTGGGCAGCCTGCTTTTATTCCCTTATCTGGCCCCACCCACATCCTGCTGATTGGTCCATTTTACAGAGATCCCATTGGTCTGTTTTACAGAGACCTGATTGGTCCGTTTGGACAGGGTGCTGATTGGTGCATTTACAATCCCTGAGCTAGACACAAAAGTTCTCCATGTCCCCACTAGATTAGCTAGATACAGAGTGTGGATTGGTGCATTTACAAACCTTGAGCTAGATACACAGTGCCAATTGGTGCATTCACAATCCCTTAGCTAGACATAAAGATTTTCCAAGTCCTCACCAGATTGAGGAGCTCAGCTGGCTTCACCCAGTGGATGCCGCCCTGGGGCTGCAGGTGGAGCTGCCTGCCAGTCCCGCACCATGCGCCTGCACTCCTCAGCCCTTGAGTGGTCGACGGGACTGGGTGCTGTGGAGCAGGGAGCAGCGCTCTCCGGTAGGCTCAGGCTGTGCAAGAGCCCGTGGCCGGGGGAGGGGAGGCTCAGGCATGGCAGGCTGCAGGTCCCGAGCTCTGCCCTGCGGGGAGGCAGCTAAGGACCAGCAAGAAATCGACCGCAGAGCCGGTGGGCCAGCACTGCTGGGGGACCTGGCACACCCTCTGCAGCTGCTGGCCCGGGTGCTAAGCCCTTCACTGCCTGGGGCTGGCAGGGCCGGTGGGTCACTCTGAATGTGGGGCTGCCAAGCCCATGCCCACCCAGAACTCCAGCTGGCTCGCAAGGGCCGTGCGCAGCCCCAGTTCCTGCCCGTGCCTCTCCCTCCACACCTCCCGGCAAGCCGAGGGAGCTGGTTTTGGCCTCGGCCAGCCCAGAGAAGGGCTCCCATGGTGCAGCGGCGGGCTGAAGGGCTCCTCAAGCGCAGCCAGAATGGGCACCAAGGAGGAAGAAGCACCGAGAGAGCGCGAGGGCTGCGAGGGCGGTCAGCATGCTGTCACCTCTCACTTCTACGTGAAAATCTCTCTCACATTCTGTTTCCAGGGAACTAAATTAAAAGACTAAATTACAAATATTTGGAGATGAAAGAGACATAGTTTTTGCCTTCAAATAACTCAGGTTCTGGCATTTCCTAATGCTTAGTTGCCATGTGTTTATTCCTATATTTAATTTTTCAGTAAAGAATTGGTGTCTACTCTGTGCCAGCACTCTATTACTCAGGGCCTGTTTCCATACCACCAGATTAGGCAGCAGTTAATGTATGCATTCTTCAGTGTTTCTCAAATATTTACTCGGAAGAACATCTGCAGAAGTCAGAGAAAAATTTCTAAGCTTCTGAATATACCATAAACACTTGTTAATAAGGATTTAATACTGCATGAAACAAAGCATTATCTTCAGAAAATGTTAAGAGCTATCCTAAACCAGCGAACCACCTTTTGTTTAAAGTGAACTTATTTTACTTGAGAAAATTCTATTTTTTTTTCAGTTCAAACTGAAGAAATGAGTAGAAAAGGTGAAGAAAGCTAAGCTTTCATTTTTGGTTCCCTCATTCCCTAGTTATGTGGAGATAAAAATAAGTTTTGTCTAGATCTTTGTTTTTAAATCTATGATGGACAAAGGTAATCTTTAATGACCCAACCCAAATATTTTCTTTTTATAAAAGAGCAAACCATCTTTTCTGTATGTGTTTATAATTCCGTATGTTCACAAATACTTTTGCATTAGCAATGTTTATACATCAAAATATTATTAATATTTAAATCCTTTAATAAGTAAATTTTAAATTATGCTTTCTATTTTGAGCACTCATCTATCAGACATTAATTTTAGACATATGTTACGGTGTTAGTTACACTTCAAATTTTAATTAGTTTGCTACCATTCTCCATTCTCTCAACTTGAAGCAATTTACTATAAAGCAGTAGTAAATATTTATAAATACGTTCTATTTCAAGAATAATTGGAAGAGATATCCACTTAATTCAGGATTCATTAACACTGCAGATTTAAGTTATTTTTTAACTAAAATGTCTGGCTTCCTAGTTATTAAGTGTCACATCCAAAAAAGTATGTTTGTGGCTGGGCGTGTTAGCTCACGCCTCTAATCCTAGCACTTTCGGAGGCAGAGGCAGACAGATCATGAGGTCAGGAGATCGAGACCATCCTGGCCATCATGGTGAAACTCCGTCTCTACTAAAAATACAAAAATTAGCCAGGTGTGGTGGCGCACGCCTGTAGTTCCAGCTACTCGGGAGGCTGAGGCAGGAGAATCGCTTGAACCTGGGAGACAGAGGTTGCAGTGAGCTGAGATCGCGCCACTGCACTCCAGCCTGGCAACAGAGCAAGACTCCATCTCAAAAAAAAAGTAAATTTGTTTGCTGTGGGGGTAGATAAATATAAAGACAATATTTTTAATTTTATATTGTGCAGTATAATTATATTAAAATATGTATTTTATAATTGTATAACTGAAGTCAAAATAGATTACAGTTATCTCTGCTAAGCCTCAAAATGCCAATATTTTATGATATTCTGTTTGCTGTCACTTAGTAACAATATAATTTTTCCTATTGTACTGCAAAGAATACTTGGAGAGGATGTGTGCTTTCTGAAGTGAATGAAAGAATGAATGAGTGAACCCATGTGTACTTTCAGAACTGAATGAAAAGTTGAATGTGCGAGTAGATGCAAATGAAACTATTAATTACCGAAGGACAAGAGAGGTTCATCTTTCTGATAATAGAATTGTCTAGAACACTAGGTCCACACAAAGTTTAAATAATACACATCAAAATGATGGTTATGATGGTGATAACAAAGCACAGGAAAATTATGTGTTGTTTTATATTGTTTAATGTTTATAGTAAAAGGATATAATTTGTTCTGCACAGATTTATTGTGGCTCAGTGCAATGTTGCTCAAATTGATACATATGGAATTATGTGTGATGTTCTTTGAGTGTCATTTATTATTTGCAAGATTTTAACAATTTTGTGCTTTTTTTCTGTGATATTCCTAAAAATAACGAAAGAGAAACTTTTCCTTGACCCCTTTGCAGGATAACTTGCTTACTTGGCCTGCAGCTTTCAGCCCCTCAGGGGAGGGGAAGCAAGTGGGTGAGCAGGTACAGGAGCTCAAGT
Organism: Homo sapiens; assembly: GCF_000001405.40. Classification (NCBI taxonomy): domain Eukaryota; kingdom Metazoa; phylum Chordata; class Mammalia; order Primates; family Hominidae; genus Homo; species Homo sapiens. The sequence goes on along the minus strand of NC_000010.11, from coordinate 57,247,520 downwards.
GAGTGCTTCTGAGCACGGGCAGGAGCAAATCTCCTGCTTTTGTGTGCAGCCCTGCAGCAGCTTCTGGGGGATACCTGCAACCCCTGAAGCTCCAGAGAGTGTGTGTAACAGTGCGCTCTTTTACCTTTGCTGTCTGAGGATGGCTTAAGTGTTAACAGCTCAGGGGAGGGTCAGTGTGACAGCCTTTTGCAATTGAACCCGAGTCCTTGTCCAGCATCCAGGAGGAATGAGGTCACACAAACAAATTGAAGGGTGGTAAATGCAGAGGATTTTATTGCTGATGAAAGTGGCATTCAGCAGTAGGAGAGCTGGGAGGGGGATGGAGCAGGAAGGCGATCTTTCCCTAGAGTCCAGCGGTCAGGTGGAACCCTTCTCCCAAGTCCTGCCCTCAAGCCATCTCCCTGAAGTCAAACTGCTTCTCTCCGATGTCTGACTGCTTCTTCTCTTCTCTCCTTCTCTGCTCTCTGCCAGGCGGGTAGGGGTTTTTATGGGTACAGGATGTCGGGCAGGCCAGGAGTGGTTTTGGAAAAGGCAACATTCAGGTGGGACAAAGGGGAAGTAAAGGTCTCGCTTTGGGCCACAGTTCCAGGCTTGAGGGTGGGGCCCTTGCCAGGGACCCCACCCTTTTCTACTTTTCTACCTAAAATTTCTCTGCCTCCTGTCCCTATCAGTAACACTAGCATATTGTATATAATGACTATTATATCTGGAGTCCTAAACATTTACACACCTAAATTTGAACGTTTTCTGTCATGTTTGCATTAAATAAAAGTCACATTGTATTGTATACTATGCAAATAAAACTTTGCAGTGCTTTAAATAGAACAAAGAGTTGAGGAAATTAATTTGTCACAGAGCTTACTTTAGTGTATGCCCCCACATAAAAACAATAGAGTGTATCATATTTGTACTTTGAAGAGAGTATTTCTGTGCTCAACATCACATGTTCTGTGTACCAACTTGCAAATACCTGCTATGAAGCTGTAGGAAACATTCAATAAATAATTGAAGTAGATATCAATTTAAATATGATTTAATTGATACATAAAATTTTAATTGAACTAAAATATATAATTGATTTAATTGATATAATTGAAGTTTATATTTAAGTGGCTAGTTTTACAATTACTAAATGACACATACTAAAAAGTAGCAATAACTCATTCTTAAAGAGTATTCAAATAAATAGGAAGGCTTAACATTTTAATTCTATATTCTACAATGCAGTTATATAAAGAGGTATACTCTGCAATAGAATAATTGAAGTCAAAACAGAAAAATGAATTAAATACAGTATTGGACTTGGCCTAATATTGCTCAGTTCTAAACCCCAAGTCAATTATTTATTGCTAACATTGAAAAGTCACCTATCCTGCAAAAATCATGCTGTTAATTCATTTGGTATTTTGGGGTTTTATTAATTTTTAAGTTTTGGGGTGTTCATAGTTGTAAAATCAACTAAGAAAAATTATAAGTAATCTACATTGGTCAATGATAAAGATAATTTATGATTACTGAAGTCAAAAGAATAATTTGAATTATATACACATGTATGAGTGTATATTTATAGATGTGTATGTGTGTGTGTGTATATATAAAATTCAGGTGTGAAAGAAAACATTTAATGGAAATATTATTGTTATAAATGCATTTGTAGAGCTTTTACATATAGAAATTTTTAATGTACCTTATGTTTCCTTATTTGTTTGAGTCACTTTGTGAGAGTTGTTGTTTTCTGTCATTAAAACTCCTGCTATAGCCCTGAAACAAAGTGATGAAGTTGGTAAAATTAAATCTATACGTGCTTCTCATGTACAAAAGAGTTATTGGTGAAAGCATCTTTTAAAGTTATTTTAAAAAAAGAATACATGGTGAACATCTCTGTGGAAAATGTAGAATATCAACCCTTATGCATGCATCCATTTTGCAAACTTCAGAGTTTATTGAATGGAAAATACTATTTATAAAAGGAAAAGAAAATGTCTTATTTTCCATTTAGGTTGGTTGTTATTCGTATCTATTACTTTTGAGGCTTTTAAGTTAGTGATCTTCATCAGCTTTGTTATAGGAGAGACCAGTAAATAAGACAAACATGACTTCTGGGAATTATGTCATTTGGTAACCATTAAACTAGTCACATATCTTGACAAAAATGCCCAGCTGTTAAGCCAAGATAGCTTCTGTCTAGTTTGTCATTGATAGTAATGTATTTTCCCTTGCTAAGTGAATGTATCTTCCATCAGATTTCAGAATTCTAAGTGATAACATCAGCATAACTTACAATAAAATAATTATGTATGATTAACTGCAAGGAATAGTTATTTCAAAGAAAACATTTTTTAGTCAACAAATGCTCCCAAGAGCTTTTCTTTTGGTGCATGACATTTCAATTTGTTACTATGTGGTTGAAATAAAATTCACTACTCTCCGTTAATATAGTTCACATCTGTAATTTCATTTTGATATGTTTATTAAGCATATAGATTCATGTAAGCAATAGTTTTCCTCAGCGACCTAACACTGTAAAGGCTCTTGTAGCTCTTGGTTATGTCCTAAGCAATAAGTTATTCATCCAGATAATCACAAAGCATTTAGCTCATAATCCTGTAAAAAATGTTTTATAGCTAATACCCCAATGATATAATAATCATTTATATTTTTGACATGGCTGTAATGACAAATTAAAGCCTTATCTGAAACGTGTCTTTCCCATTAATGTATTTCACTGAGCAGGGCAATATGGATGAAGGTTTTTCAAATGTATCTCAGGAGAATTTATAGATACTCTCAAATAGCATATCTCTTAACTTTAGTGGAATGGAAATCAGATAGATGATATTGATGAGCTATCTTCAGGTGGATGTGTTAAGAATTGGTTTCAGGGACTGATGTAGACCAGATAAAAGAAAGAAAAAAATGGATAAGTTGCAACAAGGATGTTTAATTCCAAAAGGGAGGATGGGTTATGTCCCAAAAGAAGGTTTAAACAGGAAGCCAAGATGGCACGAACAAAACTGCTTACCATTTCTAGACACAGAAAGAAGATATACTGACCTATTATTAAGGAGACTCCTCTCTAGCCACTAGAGTAAAATATTGCATAATGTGAAGGATTATTTCTATATTTTAGCTTTTGGATAGTGAAAATATAAGACAAAAAGTATATGATAAGAACAAGGAGGATCATGAACATTTTAATGTTTTTTCAAACAATGTAAACTCACTAGGAAAACATGCAACCCAACCTCATCTGATCTTAGTTTCTAAAGAGATTAATGGAATTACCCTTTTACTTTTTGACTAGAGGAGAAATCAGTGAATCTCCACTAGAAGAGGAAGGCATTATCTGTACCTGCTATATTTTTTATATAACCTGATTATTTTAAAAGATGAAAACAACACAGTTAGCAATCATGACCCTACTGCAGGGCAGGATATATAATTTGTGAGGCCCAGTGCAAGACAAAGTATGTGAATCTATGCTCAAAGTAGCTAAGAATTTCAGGATTACAACAGCAGAATATTAAGCCAAGTGTGAACCTAGTTTAAGCATACTCTCCCCATTCTACTGTAAATATCATACACACATAAAATCCACATATGTTAATAAATTCCAAAAAGTAAAATCATCCAAAGTATACTCTATAACCACTATGGAATTAAAGTAGAAAACGCCATCATATAGCTAAAACATCTTCAACTGTTTGGAAATTAAAACATGTATTTCTAAATAACTAATAGAATAAAGAAGGCAGCATAGAAGAAAATATAAATCATGTTTAATTAAATGATAATATTATGTGGTGTGTCAAAACTTGCAGAACAGGCTGGTTGTGGTGGCTTACACCTGTAATTCCAGCACTTCAGGAGACCAAGGCAGGAGGATCACTTGAACGCAGGAGTTCTAGACCACCCTAGGCAACATGGCAAAACCCCATATCTACAAAAAATACTAAAATTATATAGGTGTGGTGTGGGTGCCTCTAGTCACGCTACACAGGAGGCTGAAATGGGAGGATCGCTTAAGCCTGGGAGTTCAAGGATGCAGAGAACCATGATAGTGGGCATTGCACTCCAGCCTGGGCAACAAAGTGAGACCCTGCCCCCACCACCCCCCAAATAAAAACCTTGCAGGATGCAACTAATTAAATCATAGTTAATATAGGAATATATAACTTGGAATTAAAGTATCATATATATATATAATATATATGCTCAAAATTAATGATTTAATGTTATAATTTAAGAATCTAAGCTGAGTGCAGTGGTGTATACCTGTAATCTTAACACTTGAGAAGTTGAGGCAGGAAGACTGATAGAGCCCAGGAGTTCAAGACCAGTGTGGGTAACATAGCAAGACCCTACTTTTACAAAACAATTACAAAAATCAGCCATGTGTGGTGGCGTCTCCCTGTATTCCCAGCTACTTGGGAGGCTGAGGTAGGAGGATTGCTTGAGTCCAAAGTTCTAGGATGCAGTGAACTATGATTGCACCACTGCACTCCAGCCTGAGCAACAGAGACCCTGTCTCTAAAACAAACAAACAAACAAAAGTAATCTAGATAGCAAATCAACCTCTTAAGAGAACAATAATAATAAGTAGAAATAATTAAAGACAAACATTAAATAGGCTACACTAGACAAGCTCTAAGTTTATTATTTTACAAGATTAATACAATTGATAAAACTCTAGTAACAATGATCAACAGAAAGATAAGAAATGAAAATTAGTTTTATCAGAAGTGAAGACATCGTTATAGATCCTACATATATTTTTTAAATTAAGAATAATTTTCTGCCAATAAACTTGAATAAATATGTATGGCAAATATCTTTGGGAAGAAAAACTTACCAAAATTTACAGATGGTAACATAAAAAATCTAAATAATTCAACAAACATTAAAGAAGATTAATGTTATAAAAGTTTTTTCACAAAGCAAACTGTAGGTACATATTATTTCAATGATTACATCTAATAAACAGGTAAGTAAAATATAACACCAGCATTACATAAGACAAAAATTTTAAAAATCATAATAACAAGGTTATTTATGAAATCAAAAAATCATATTTAATATCTCAGTAATTGAAAAAATATTTAACCTATGTTAGTATTTTTTACTATAAAAAGTAAATCTACATTTTTTACTATAAAAAATAAATCTATGTATTTTTTACTATAAATGTAAATCTTTTTTTAACCATAAAAAGTGAATCTATACAGAGTGAAACACATCACAATCTAATAAGATTTGTTTCAAGAATAGACTGGTACTAATGTTAAAAAATCAATTAATAATATAATATATCACATTAACAGACAATAAAATAAAATTATATAATTATGTTATCACTTGTAGAAAAGGCACTTGATAAAATTCGATGTCCCACATTTATTTATCTATTTATTTATTTATTTAGAGACAGAGCTTCATTCTTGCCACCCAGGCTGCAGTGCAGTAGAACAATCTCAGCTCACTGCAACCTCCACCTCCAGGGTTTAAGCGATTCTCGTGCCAGAGGCTCCTGAGTAGTGGGATTACTACTCAGAGTCCGCCACCATACCTGGCTAATTTTGTATTTTTAGTAGAAATGGGGTTTCACCATGTTAGCCAGGCTGGTCTTGAACTCCTGACCTCAGGTGATCTGCCCGCCTTGGCCTCCCAATGTGCTGGGATTATAGGCATGAGCCACCATACCTGGCTATCCCCCATTTATTTTTAAGAATTCTTTGAAGCCAGAAATAAAAATAAACTTTCTACCTGATAAAATGAGTAACTGTAAATAATCTAGTGAACAAGACACTTAGTAGTGAACAATTGAAGATATTCTTCTGAAATAAGGTGAGGTGAGATAAAGATACTTGCTATTATTCTTGTTTTTCAATATTTATTCTAAGTGCTAACTGGAGCAACAAGGAAAGAAAATGAAATGCTGTAAGGAATGCACTGAATCTGTAGAACCCATTGGGAAGTATGGACATTTTAACAATATTAATTCTTCCATTCCATGACATGGAATGTATTTCCATTTGTTTCTGTAATTTTTTACCAATGTTTTAGTTTTCAGTGTACAGATTTTTCACATCCTTGCTTAAATTTACTCTTAAGTATTTTTGATGCTATTATTAATGGTATTGTTTTCTTAAAGTATTTTTCAGATAGTGTGTTGTTAGTGCATAGAAATGCTACTGGTTTTTGTTGTTAGTTTTGTAACCTAAAGCTTTACTGAATTTATCAGTTCTGTTTTATTTATTTATTTATTTATTTATTTATTTATTTTTTTCATGGAGTCTTTAGGGTTTTTACATATAAGATAAATGTAATCGTTATCCAAATTCCAAAGTCAGCTTTTTCAGAAAAATGGAAAAAATAATTCTAACTTTTGTATGCAACCATGAGATACTCTGAAGAGCCAAAATAATCTTGAATAGAAAGAATAAAGCTTAAGGCATCACATTACTTGATTTCCAAATATATTATAAAGCTATTATAATCAAAACAGCATGGCACTGGCATAAAATCGACCACAGGAATACGATGGAAAATCCATATATAAACACAAGTATTTATGATCAATTGATTTTTGACAAAGTTGCCAAAAGAACATACAATGGGGAAAGGACAATCTCCTTAATAAATGGTGTTGGGAAAACTGTATATTCACATGCAGAAAAATGAAATTGGCATCTTATCTCATACCCTAAACAAAAATCAACTCAAAATGGATTAAAGATGTAAATTTCAGACCTGATACTGTAAAGCTACGTGAAGAAAACATAGCAGAAAATCTCCGCATCATTGGTCAACAGTAGACTTTTGTTTTGTTAGCCCAGGGATACATCCCCTCTCTAATTCTCTATCAAAGTCTAGTCCACAGGAAACTTGATTGTATCATTATCCTGCAGAAGGTCATGCTAGTCCACTAGCCTGTTGGCATCATTCTACATGCACCTATATACCAAAGAGTGGTAGCAACAATATTTTCTATTTTCATGATACATTCATGCTACATTGGGGAGGATAGACCATTTCTGGTAACAATTCTGCATAGGTATGGTGCAAATGTTATGATAATGATTTTCTAAAACACAATAGCAGTTTCTTTAACCTTTTTTGTAATAGTTTGGAGATTAGTGGGACAGTTTTGGGACAGCCATTCTATCTGGGACTGAGGTTCTTCTTTCTCCACCATTTCCTAAGACCAAGGGAATTGTTCTCATCTTCATAATTGAAGTTGGCCACTTTCAAGAGACTTGGAAATAAAATTCTTGGCTAGGCAGCTACATGCTCACATAACATTCTCTTTCAAATGGAAGAAAGATATAATAGATTTAACATGACAATGAGCTCCCTGTCACAACTAGGAAGGTCAGAAGATAAAATATTATTGCATTCTAAGTTATAAATAGAAATTGGATTTCAACTTTTTAGCCAACAACAATTAATTGGTGGCAGTTACCCAGATATTAATGATGGAAGAGAAAAAGTGATCTTAATTAATAAAAATTCCTACAAGGACAGTAGTGTATGTGTGTGTGTGAGGTTAGAGGAACTGTAGTAAAACAGTTTTCATTTGTCATCAGCGTTGTGAGGATGAGATGGGAGTAAATGGAGGAAAAAGTCCCAGCAAAATAAATTAAGATATATAATCGTAATATACATGTTGAATGTTTACTTATTGTCTGGTAATGTGTAAAACACTTTAAATACGTCATCTCTTTCACACTGACTTTGTAAGTGAAGTATTATTTTCCCCATCTTATCAGTGAGAAAGTTGAAATTCAGAGAGCTTAATTTACATGCCAAAAGTTATAACTAGTTCATTGCTCTATTCTCACACTGCTATGAAGAAATACCCAAGACTAGGTAATTTATAGAGGAAAGAGGTTTAATTGACTCACAGTTCCACATTTCTAGGGAGACCTCAGGACACTTACAATCATGATGGAAGGCAAAGAAGAAGCAAGCACCTTCTTCACAGGGTGGCAGGATGGAGTGAGTGCAAGCAGGGGAAATGCCAGATGCTTATAAAACCATCAAATCTCATGAGACTCACTCATTATCACAAAAACAACATGGAGGAAACCACTGCCATGATCTGATTACCTCCACCTGGTCCCGCCCTTAACACATGGGGATTATTACAATTCAAGGTGAGATTTGGGTGGGGACACAGAGCTAAACCACATTATTTCACCACTGGCCCTACCCATATCTCTTGTCCTCACTTTTCAAAACACAGTTATGCCCTTGCCCTTCCAACAATCCCCCGAAGTCTTAACTCATTCCGGGATTAATGCAAAGTTCAGGTCTAACCTCTTATCTAAGACAAGGCAAGTCCCTTCCACCTATGAGTCTGTAAAATCAAAAGGAAGTTAGTTACTTCCTAGATACAATGGGGGTACAAGCTTTGGGTAAATTCATCCATTCCAAATGAGAAAAAATTAGCCAAAACAAAGGGGCTAAAGGTCCCACGCAAGTCCAAAATCCATAGGGCACTCATTAAACTTTAGAGTTCCAAAATGATCTCCTTTGACTCCATGTCCCACATCCATAGGAGGTGGGCTCCCATGGCCTTGGGCAGCTCCACCACCATGGTTTTGCAGGATACAGCCCCCCTCCAGGTTCTTTTCATGGGCTGGCATTGAGAGTCTGCTGCTTCTTCAGGCGCACAGTGCAAGTTGTCAGTGGATCTTACATTCTGAGGTCTGGAGGATGGTGGTCCTCTTCTCACAGCTCTACTAGGCAGTGCTCCAGTGGAGACTCTGTATGGGGGTTTCAATCCAACATTTCCTTTCTGCACTGCCCTAGCAGAGTTTCTCCATAGGGCATCCACCTCTGTAGCAAACTTTTGCCTGGACATCCAGGCATTTCCATAATCCTCTGAAATCTAGGCAGAGGTTCCCCAACCTCAATCCTTGATGTCTGTGCACCTGCAGGACCTACACCATGTGAAAGCTGCCAAGTCTTGGTGCTTGAACCCTCTGAAGCAATGACCTGAGCTACACATTGACCCCTTAAAGCCACGACTGGAGCTGAAGCAGCTGGGACTTACAGAACCATGTCCCAAGGCTACATAGAGTAGGGGGATCCTGGACCCGGCCCACAAAACCACTTTTCCCTCTTAGGCCTCTGGGCCTGTGATGGAAGGGGCTGTCATAAAGGTCTCTGACATGCTCTAGAGACATTTTCTTCATTGTCTTGGTGATTAACATTTGGCTCCTTATTATTTATGCAAATTTCTGCAGTGGACTTGAATTTCTTTCCAGGAAATGGATTTTTTTTCTTTTCTATCACATAGTCATGAAGCAAATTTTCCATACTTTTATGCTCTGCTTCCTCTTGAATGCTCTGCTGCTTAGAAATTTCTTCCACCAGATACCCTAAATCATCTCTCTCGAGGTCAAAGTTCCACAGATCTCTAGAGTAGGGCAAAGTGCCTCCAGTCTCTTTGCAAAAGTATAGCAAGAGTGACCTTTACTCCAGTTCCTGACAAGTTCTTCATCTCCATCTGAGACCACCTCAGCCTAGACTTCATTGTCCACATCACTATCACCATTTTGGTCAAAGTCATTCAACAAGTCCCTAGGAAGTTCCAAACTTTCCCACATCTTCCTGTCTTCTGAGCCCTCAAGTTTCTAGGAAATTCCAAACTTTCCCACATTTTTCTGTCTTCTTCTGAGCCCTCTAAATTCTTCCAACCTCTGCCCATAACCAGTTCCAAAGTGGCTTGCACATTTTTGGGTATCTTTATAGCAGTGCCCCACTACCTTGGTATAAATTTACTGTATTAGTCCATTCTCACACTGCTATGAATAAATACCCTAGACTGGGTAATTTATAAAGGAAAGAGATTTATTTGACTCAGAGTTCTGCATTGCTGGAGAGGTTTCAGGAAATGTACAATCATGGTAGAAGACAAAGGAGACACAGGCACCTTCTTCACAGGGTGACAAGGCAGAGTGAGTGCCAACAAAGGAAATGCCAGACGCTTATAAAATCATCAGATCTCATGAGACTCACTCATTATCATGAAAACAGCATGGGAGAAACTGCTTCCATGATCCAATTACCTCGACCTGGTCACACCTTTCACACATGGGAATTATTCCAATTCAAGATGAGATTTGGGTGGGGACGCAAAGCCAAACCATATCAACTAGTAAGAGTCTCATGCTGTAATGGACTGAATATTTGTGTCTCCCTAAAATGTATATGTTGAAATCCTGCCCACCAATGTGATGGTGTTTGGAGGTGGGGCTGTAGGGAGGTGATTAGTTCATTAATGTGGAGCCCTCATGAATGGAATTAGTGCCCTTATAAAAAGAGAAATGAGACCTAGCTTGCTCTCTCTGCTCTCTACCAGTTGAGGAAACAATGAGATGATGACTATCTGCAAGGCAGGAAGAGTGCCTTCACTAGACACCAGATCTGCCAGAAGATTGATCTAACATTTCCCAGCCTCCAGAACTGTGAGAATAAATATTTGTTATTTAAGCCACCTAGTCTGTGGTATTTTGCTACAGCAGTCCAAGCTGACTAATACTTTTTGTCTCAAAATCCACCAAAATCAACTACTACCCCTGACACCACCTCCAGAAATTTGGTGCCCTAAGATAGTCGTGATAAGGAGTAATAAACTAAAGGGTGTGACATATTTGCATTAGGTACCCCAAATGTCAACTTAAACTTAGTAGATTTTTGTCTATTATTTTCATCACAGAACTGCTTATGCAAATTAACTTTCCACATCCTCAGTGGTCCCTTCTTATTTCTCTCACATAGCTTAAAAATCTACATACAGAGTTAAGTGAATATAGAAATATCTACTTTTCCTTTTTATTACACAGATTTATAATTTTACTTATTAATCCATGATTCTCTTGTTAAGCTAAGATCATGGCATTTCCAGTTCTCCCTCTTGTGATAAAGAATAGTATCTGCTAAAGAGTAATGTTCTTTAGCAAATTTACAGAATTTTTGCGCATTAATAAACTGAGCACTACACAAAACTACATTTTAGTCTTTAGGTACTTAAATTACCTAAATACATTTAGATTTAATAAACTTTAAATAAATATATAAATCATCTTTTCTAGACAAAGTCAAATAATTTATTATGTGTTCATAGAGTTGTCTCACAGAGAGCTAATGAGAAGTATAAACAAGTATTTTTTTCTGAAAAATTAGTAAAATTCAGAATATTTATTTGTTCTTGGTGGGGTTTGGGTTTTGCACTATGCTTTTGCCACCTGTGACAAGGGGCTTCCTTTGTTTCCTCATATCTTTCTCAGAATGAAGTTTCCCCTCCTACCACCATCACAACAAACACGCACACACACATGCACGCATGCATGCATACACACATACAAGCACCCACTAGCATCTTGAGGGCTAACTCAGATTAGAATTAAGAAAGAGTGGGCCAGGTGCAGTTGATCACACCTGTAATCCCAGCACTTTGGGAGGCCGAGCTTAACAGGTCATCTGAGCTCAGGAGTTTGAGACCAGCCTGGCCAACATAGCGAAACCCTGTCTCTACAAAAAACACAAAAATTAGCCGGGCGTGGTGGAACATGCCTGTAGTCCCAGCTTCTTGGGAGGCTGAGGCAGGAGAATTGCTTGAGCCGGGGAGGCGAAAGTTGCAGAAGCCATGATCTCACTACTGCCCTTCAGCCTGGGTGACAGAGTGAGACCTTGTCTCAAAAAAAAAAAAAAAAAAAAAAAAAAAAAAAATTAAGGAAGAGAGGCTTTGGTAAGGCAGAAAAAGACTAAAACTCATTTCATGTGGACATAAAAACACAGCTGGATTGTACCAAAAATTTTAACACAAAACGTATTTTTTTCATCATATAGATAATTTATTCTACAGATAGAGCCACATTGATGCTGCTCTTTATCCTTTCCTCCCAGTTTTGGGGTCAGAATCACATGAAGATACATCTAAACCCATTAAAATCTCAGTTTCATTAACAGAAAAATCTCTGCAAGTCTTGGCCAGAAACCTAGAGGAAAAACAAACAAACAACAACAACAAAAAACAGGATTATTGGAATCACATGCCTGAGAAAATCAGAAGGGCTAATATCAAAAGACCAAGATAACCAGGAGGTCAAGAAAGAGAAGAAAGAGGGGCTATGGATGAAGGGACATTGCATATCTGAAGTGGAATATGTCTTAGCTGACTGATGGAGTCTGTCTTAGCCCGCACAGGCTGCTGTAACAAAATACCATACATTAGATAGCTTAGACAATAAGTATTTATTTCTCACAGTTCTGGAGGCTGGAAAATCCAAGATCAAAGTTCTGGCAGTTCTGCTGTTTATTGTGGGCCAGCTTTGTGGTTTGCAGATTCCTACCTTCTCTTTGTATCTTCACATAGCAGAAGGCACAGAGAGAACAAGCTCTGGTGTCTATTCTTGTAAGAACATTAATCTCATTCGTGAGGATCATCCTCATAAGCTAATAATTCTCAAAGTCCCAACTTCCAAATACCATCACACTGGGGAATAGGCTTCAACACAAAATTTAGGAGGTTACCATCATTCATTTCATAGGAGAGTCCTTGCAGTAACATATGAAGGACTTTTTTGGTGTTTCCATCTATCCCTGTCCCTTATGGGTTGAATTTGTCCCCAAGAAAAGGTATGTTGAAGCACCCACTGCAACAGAATGTGACTTTATTTGCAAATTGATTTATTGTAGATGTAATTAATTATGATGAAATTAGGGTGGGCCCTTAATACAATAGCACTAGTGTTATTACAAGAAGACAAGAGATGGAGAAATACAGACACATACAAGGAAAATACCATGTAATAACAGATGCAGAGATAGGAATCCTTGCTGCAAGCCAAGGAATCCTAAGACTTGCCAACAAGCCCCCAGAAATTACTGAGGCAAGGAAGGATTTTCCCCTACAGGTTGCTTTGGGCATATGGCTCTGCTGACATTTTGATTTCAGACCTCTAGCTTCTACAACTATAAGACAATAAATTTCTGTTGTTTTAAGCTATTTGTTTTATGTTATGGCAGCCCTAGGAACTAGTACACCATTAATATGAATAACTACCTAATACTAAGTTTTTGGAAAAGGACCAGATTGGGCGGACCTTGAATACTGTTAAAAGGACATAACAAACCTGCAAGTGTACCCCTGAATCTAAAATAAAAGTTAAAATATTTTTAAAGAGTGTCTGCTGAGAGACCAAACTTAAGGCAGGAAGACTGAAAATGCCTTAGTTTAATGTTTTTAATATAGGAAAACAGAGGAAGAAATGGAATCTCTCTTGGACACCAACAGTGTCCCAGGATTATTATGTTAGATGCTTTCACATACATTATCTCATTTAGTTTTTGGAATTATGCTACATTTTAGACATTTAAAATAATAATTTTCTCCTAAATGATAGAAGAAACCCAAGAAGGAGTAGTATGCAACTTGAAAATTTAAAAAGCTAATTAGAAAAAACAAAAATTGAATGTTTTGGTTATTACTGATGTTTTTTGGGTTGTATTGTCTTTGTGTTTAATGTTTTCCAAAACCTATTATTATTATTTTATTTTTTTTTTTTTTTAGCCGGAGTCTCACTGTCTCCCAGGCTGGAGTGCAGTGGCGCGATCTCCACTCACTGCAAGCTCCGCCCCCTGGGTTCACGCCATTCTCCTGCCTCAGCCTCCCGAGTAGCTGGGCCTACAGGCACCAGCCACCACGCCCAGCTAATTTTTTTTTGTATTTTTAGTAGAGACGGGGTTTCACCATGTTCTCCAGGATGGTCTCGATCTCCTGACCTCGTGATCCGCCCACCTCGACCTCCCAAAGTTCTGGGATTGCAGGCGTGAGCCACTGCGCCCGGCCCCAAAACCTGTTATTAAATTGATTCAGTTAGATAACATTTAAATACATGTCTTTAGATACAAAATGAATCAAATTTGTGACAACCAAACTAGGTAATTTTATAGGGTTGCTTAAGAAACCCCAACACAGTATTTTTATTGTATGCAAAAAGAAGATTGAGTGATTTCTAACTATAGGTTGAAAAAAACTTAAGTTCTAATATGTTATTTGAATATTTGCAAATCTATGCTGAAAATGGTTTTTTTGCAATAAATTTCTTAGTGGAGCTGTCTACAGAACTTTAAAAGAACCAAATAAAGAGCATGACTCAGAACATGAAAAAAACACTGAACCAAATGTTTCTGATTTATGCTTTTTAAATAAAGTCTGAGTTTCTACACTAATTCAAAACGGGCATTTTGATAGCTATTTTCTCAAGTAGTGTGGTATATTGCCAGCAAAGATTGGTTTGCACCATCATCCAGTCTGGTTATTCTTGACCTAACTCTTTACCACATTTAAATCTGAAGATGTAATAATGTGTTTCAGACTTGAGATCACTCAGAAAAATACTCATTATTTATTGTGAATATGGTAAAAAGTAGTACTTGGAGCTAAGAAAATGTTAAATGTATTTCAAAAAAACCCTAAAAATAAAAACCTTAATAAATGAATTTAATAAATGTTGACATTAATGTGGATATGTAGATTCAAATTATCTTGTTTTCTTTATGAATTTTCTTTATGAATTACCCAGTCTCAGGTATTTCTTCATAGCAGCATGAGAACAGACTAATAAAGTTACTGAAATAAGAACTTGTAGAGTTCATTTTAAACTTTGGGATACTAAATAAATCTGTCTAAAAGCTTCTAATGCAATATATCTATTTTCTAGTTAGATGATGCCACTGAGAAATGCAATCAGAACACATTGACTTGAAATTAAAATTTAAAGTGATCTCTCTTTGGTTGCCCACCACCATAACTAACTTCTTAGATAATATTTGTACAAGACTTAAAATTTCACATGGCTTTACCTAAATTATGACAAATAATATTCACAGAAAAATGGCAATAAATGCAGAACAGATACTAATATTTCCCCTTTACAATGAGGGAAAAACTGCCCTTCACAATGTTTATGTTGTCTTATAGCATACAATGGATAAATTGTGAAGCTACGGTTTATCCAAGTTTTCTGATTTCTGACTACGTGGATTCCTTCCTTTTGCAAAATATTCCAAATATAAATACAGAAAGCTTTGTGATTTAAAGAAATGATAGAAATATTAAGAAGATGTATCCTTGTAATTTTAAAAAGTGACTTTGAAAAGCATTGGATCCACTGGTTACTGCTGTTAAAATAAATCTGCTTGAAAGAGTCAGTGGCAAATGCAATTCTCAATTTGCATTTGTATACATTTGATAACACAACAATTTTAAAAGATAAATCATTTTCTCTCTTCAAATGAAAATTGCAGGTTCTGGAGAGTGTAGTGTAATGTAAGCAAGATAACTGACTAGGCACACCTAGACTCATCCCTTTCATGAAAAAGGACCAAGGCAATGAGTAATAAATTGGACTGGAGTATTTGAGAAAGAGCATTTGAGTGCACCAGGAAAGTGGCGAGGTCCCTGTGGAGCGTGAAAGCTCACAATGACAGCATAGAGAGGAGAGTGAGGCATCCTTCCTCAGATGCCTTATTTTTCCTGCCTGGACCAGCTTGGAGCCAGAAGGGATTTATCCTTGTGAGGAAAATGTAATCAGAAGACCCTCCAACAGCCTTCATCAACACCACAGGTACCTGAAGCCCCTACTACAGGAAAATCCCATCGTTCTTACAAGCTCTGAGCACAGTTTGGGGAGCTGCCTGGAATTCACATGACTGCATTGCTCTAGATTAGGAGCACAGGTGTGTACTCCTCACCTGTCCATGACCCAGGCTGCTGATCACAGTGCCATATTAAAACTGGAGCCAATGCTGGAGTTCCCCCATTCTAGGGGCCATTAGCCACTGTGTCTTTTCAGCCTTGAATCTCTGCTGTCATTCCCCAGGCCTAAATGGGTAGCTGGAATACCACAATTCTGACTGCCCAGAGTCTGGGCCCAGGAATGCTGTGACTCCAGTCCTGCACAGTAGGGATACCAACTCCAAGCCAGGAGAACCACTATGTGCTCCCACTCCCAGCTGGAAAAATGGCCCAGGGGACCCACACTTGAGTCAGCTGAGCAGCCACATGCCCACACCCCTAGACAGAGACATATCCCAATCAAACTGCCCCAAGTGAACATACTCCTAAGCCAACCAAGCAGCCATGACCACATGACCCTTGACAAGAGAACCAGCCAGGTGGATCTTCCCCTGGAAAACCTGCCTGTAAACCAGCCAAGCAGCCCATATACCAATTCCCCTGACTGCAAACCCAGACCAGCAGACCTGTTTCTGTCAGACACACCCGCAAGCCAGACAAGCAGTCACAGGCTTGCACACCTGGCCAAAGGAACAGCCCAGGATCCACTCTTGCAGTCCTCCTGAGCTGATTAAGCAGCCATAGCATGTATGGATATGGCATGTATTTCACCCCTGGTGAAAGAAACAGTATGACATTCCTGATCCCAGTAACCAGTCCCCAATCTAGCCTACTGACTGCTTGTACATATGTGATTGACATGAGGAACAAGCCAGTGAGACAACCCCCAGCAAAACTGCACCTCTGCTACTACAAACTTCTGCATTCTAGGCTACTGAGGAACTCACAAACATTGCTAAAATAGATTATGGATGAATTTACTACACAGAGGCTATACTACTGCATCCACCCAGAGCCAAAGCCAGTGAACCCACCCAATTGACACCACAGGACCCATTTATATAAATAAATCTTTTCCTATGAAATCTACTTCATAAGATTGGAAGAGGCCACTGTCACTAGATGCCCAAATATCAACATAGAGGCAAAAG
The DNA here is from genome assembly GCF_000001405.40 of Homo sapiens. Lineage (NCBI taxonomy): Eukaryota > Metazoa > Chordata > Mammalia > Primates > Hominidae > Homo > Homo sapiens. Next base: position 57,230,717 of record NC_000010.11, on the reverse strand, counting down.
AAGCATAACATTTCAAGGAAACATGATAAACCCAAAGAAACACAATAATTCTACAATGACAGTCTTCCTAAAAAAGGAAATATACAAAATGCTGAAAAGAAATTCAAAATAATAATCTTAAGGAAGCTCAGTAAGATACAAGATAATATAGATAGAAAATTCAACAAAATTAGAAAGTAAAAGTCATGATCTTAGTGAAAATTTCAACAGAGATATTAAAAAAAGAACTAAACAGAAATCTTCAATGTGAAGAATTCAATAAATGAAATGAAAAATTCAATTGAGAGCTTCACAAACAGACTAGACAAAGCAACGGGGAGAACTTGTAAACTTGAAGACAGGTCTTTTGAAATAACATTAAATTAACAGGAAGAGACCAATTCCAATACAATAATAGCTGGGGACTTTAATACTCCACTCTTAGCATTGGACAGATCATCTAGCCAGAAAATGCACAAAATCACTCCCAAAACATTAAATTCAATGGTACTATAGACCAAATGAACCTAATAGATGTTGCAGAACATTTCACCCAGCAGCTCAAAATTTGGAAAATGCACATACTTTTCATTAGCATATGGTCCAGGATTGCCTATATGTTGGTCCACAAAACAAGTCTAAATTTGTTTTAACTGAAATCAGATCAAGCATATTTTCTTACCCCAAGCAATAAAACTGGTAATGAATAACAAGAGAAACTTTTGAACTATACAAATACATATAAATTAAACAACATGCTTCTGAACAACCAACGGATTAATGAAGAAATTAAGAAGGAAGGAAGGAAAAAAATATGTTGAAACAAATGTAAACAAAAACAACACACCAAAACTTTTTGTATACAAGAAAAGTAGTGTTAAGAGGCAAGTTTATAGCAATAAATGCCTACATAAAAAATGTAAATAATTTCAAATAAACAACCAAAGGACACAACTCAAACAACTATAAACCAATCCCCAAATTAGCAGAAAAGAAGAAATTATAAAAATGAGAACAGAAGTAAATAAAATAGAAACTAAAAAAATACAAAAGATAAAAAAGAAAAATTATATTTTGGAAAGATTAACTTGAACAAACTAACAACGAGTAATGAGATTGAATCAGCAATAAAAATTGTCCCAAACAAACAAACAAAAGCCCAAGACTTGATAGCTTTATTGCTAGATTCTGCCAAACATTTAAATAAAAATTAATGCAAAATTTTATCAAACTACTTGAAAAACTTGAAGGGAAAATAATGCTTTCCAACTCATTCAGTGAGGTCAGCATAGCCTGGATACTAAAACAAGGTAAGGAAACTAACAAAAAAGAAAATAACAGATCAAAAACCCTGATGAACATAGATGCAAAATCATCAACAAAATACTACCATATCTAACCCAACAGCCCATCAAAAAGAGTATACACCATGATTAAGTGAGATTTATTCCAGGAATATAAGGATGGTTCAACATACACAAATAATCAATGCGATACCTCACATTAACAGAATGAAAGATAAGTTTATGTAATTATAGGAATAGATGCAGGAAAATAATTTGATAAAATTCAACAATGCCTTATGATAAAAAAAACTCTAAACAAGTGAAGAATAGAAGAAATGTACCTCAATGCAATATAAGCCATATATGACAAACCCACAGCTAGCATTATTCTGAATGATGAAAAGCTGAAAAAAAAAACAGGAATAATACACAGATACTCATTCACACTACTGTTATTCAACATAGTAGTGGAAGTTTTAGCCAGAGCAATTAGAAAAATGAAAGAAGTAAATGGCATTCAAGTTGAAAGCAAGGAAGGCAAGTTATCTCAGTTTGCAGATGATATGATCTTATATAGAGAAAACTCTGAAGACTCCACTAAAAAACTCTTAAACTGATAAACTTAGTAAAGTTGCAGGATAAAAATAATCAACATACAAAAATCAATAACATTGCTATATGCCAATAATAAACTAGCTAAAAAGAAATCAAGAAAGCAATCCCATTTACATACAATACTATTGAAAAATCTAGGAATGAATTTATCTAAGGAGATGAAATATCTCTACAAGGAACTCTATTAAACATTGAGGAAGAAAATTGAACAGAACAAAAAAATGGAAACATGTCCCATGTTAATGGACTGGAAGAATTAATACTGTTAAAACAACCATATTTCCCAAAAAGATCTATAGATTCAATGCATTCTCAGTCAAAATATCAATGACATTCTCAATAGAAATAGAAAAAACATTATGAAATTTGTATGGAACCAAAAATGACTCTGAATAGCCAAAGCAATCCCAAACAAAAATGAGGCTGGAGGCGTCACACTACCAGATTTCAAAATATACTACAAAGCTGTAGTGACTAAAACAGCGTGGTACTCACCTTAAAACTGATACATAGACTAATGGAACAGAATAGAGAAACCATGTATAAATCCAGGTATTTACAGCCAACTAATTTTTCACAGAGGAGCCAAGAACCTGCATTGAGAAAATGGCAGTCTCTTCCATGAATGGTGTTGGGAAAACTGGATATTTCTATGCAGAAAAATGAAACTAGATCCCTGTCTCTCACCATACACAAAAACCAAATCAAAGTGGCTTAAAGATTTAAACTTAGGACCCAAAACTCTAATACTACTAGAAGAAAACTGGAAAAACATTTTTAGAAAATTGGTCTGGGAAACAATTTTATCATAGATAAGACCTCAAAAGCAGATGCACTAAAACAAAAACAAACAATTGTGGTTATAAACGGATAATGTTCTGCACATAAAAAAAATCTACCACCGCAGTGTAAAGACAACCTATAGAATGAGAGGAGATGTTGTCAAACTAGTAACCTGACCAGCGATTAATATCCACAATATATAGGGAACTCAATTCAACAGGAAAACAGATAAATATTATTTAAAAATTGGTGAATGTTGATAAAAACAGACTTTTTAAAAAAGAAAATCTACAAATTGTCAAACAAATTTTGTTTTTAAATACTCAGCATTACTAGTCATTAGGGAAATGCAATGATAGCATTTTATCCCAGCAAGAATCGCTCTTATCTAAAAGACAAAATGTAATAAATGATGGAGAGAATGTGGTGAAAAGGGATCTCTTTTACCATGTTGGTGGGGATGTAAATTAGTACCATTATTATGGAAAACGGCAGGGAGGGTGCTGTCCTGAAGAAAGTACCAACAGAACTACCATATGATCCAGTAATCATACTGCTGGGTATGTATCCAAAGAAAAGGAAATCAGTATATTGAAGAGATATCACCACCCCCTTGATAATTGCAGCAGTATTCACAATAGTCAATATGTGGAATCAAACTAAGTGTCCATTAATAGATAATGGATAAGGAAAATTTTGTATATATTCAATATAAAATATTATTCATCCATTGAAAAGAATGGCAACCTGTCATTTGCAGCAACATGGGTAAGCCTAGATGATATTATATTAAGTGAAATAAGTCGGGCACAGAAAGATAAGTTAATCTCATAGAAGTAGAGAATAGAATGGTAGCTAGTAAAAGCTAGAAAGTGGAGGCAGATCTTAAATGACATAAAGTTATAGTTACATAGGAAGAATAAATTCTAGTGTTCTATAGCACTGTTTTGTGGCTATAGTTAAATATTTTATTGTATATTTTTAAATAGCTAGAAGAGAAGGTTTTAAATGTCCCCAACACAAATAAATGATAAAGATTTGAGGTAATGGATATGATTTGATCATTACCCTAATTTGATCATTACATATTGTATACATGAACCAAAATATCACACTATACCTAATAAGTATGTACAACTATTATCTGTCAATTAAAAATTGTTTTAAAAAATGAAAACTGCAAATTCTATAGGTTGCTAATAAAGAGGAAGAAAATTACAAAGTTTATCGCAAAATATTTGAAAAAGGGTTTGATCTCTGTCTCTATTGTTTCTTCTATTAATTCCACATTCTTCTTGTTTTAGAATAGTGTGTACATAAGTTTCATCATAACAGATGCACTCATTCATTCTAGGAATGCTTACCTCAGCATAGGAACACCTGCACAACTTGTAAACTTTGGGTAACAAGATAAACTATATACAAAGCAACTGTTTGATTTTTGGCTAGTTTTCCCACCAAGTCTACATCTTACAGGTTAAGATTCATCTTTTCGTTGCAAGAAATAATTTTCAATTTTCTTGAATCATAATTGTGTTTCACTCCTTCAGGTACTTCTTCCTTGTTCATTATTGCATTCTAAAAGGAGTCATATTTCTAAGTTACCACTGACCCGCAGAAGGGCTCCTCCCTACTTCTGCTCTTCCTGCAATTTGGGAAGACAAAAAGATGACAACTTCATATCAGACTTGCACAATATGGCTCAAAATTGTAAACAAATGATTATCCTTGCTGACTAGTATTCAAATGGATAGGTGGCCACAGGGCTAGCCCAAACTAGACAGAGAGTAAAAGGTAGCACTACACCCATTAAGCCAGACACGGAAAATATTTTCTTTGCAATTTCCATTTAAGATAAATTATCTGTATGCCTTCAGAAAGCCAGGGTTTAGGAGGAGAGTATGCATTTGCTAAGGCTGGAAATAACTGCCTGGATTGATTGTGTAACTTGGTGTTTATGATATTCATTATACGCAGCATATTTTGTCACTTGTATTGTTGAAGATTGAATATTTATGAAGATTTACGAAACTATCAGGAGGGAACTAAACACATAACACACAGAATTTCACTTGGAAGATCCTCCATCAAACAAGTTTATAGCTTTTTCCAAAATATTTGTTTTGGATCTTGTTCAACAGTTATTTTATTCTTTCACGCGCTTTCTCTGAGAGTATTCTTACTCAGGAGGCAGAACTCGGTCCTTCTAGCTTTCTTCTTTTAAAAATTTTATTTTTATACAGGTTATCTAAGGTAAATTCTTCAAGAAATCTGAATTTTAGGGGTTATGGGTACTTTATTCCTACTTAGAACTGATTCAATTTAAGAATGACAGACTTGTCCCCTCAGAAACATTTTGATGACATATGCAACCACCCAATATAAATAATGCTTATCATAGGTACATGGGACATTTAAAGATTTTTTTTCTGCTTTTTTAACTCTAAATATTGTGTCAATAACATACAATAATTGTAAACTGAAAATACATATTATTTTACTTCAAATCAAAAAGGAATAATAATATTTTAGCTTATTTAATTTATTTTGATATTTGGCATACTCCATGCAGAATCTATCATGATAAATAAATGATTTTTGGCAGGCTGACTACATAATCTTTGTGACTAGAGAAAGAATCAACTTTGATCCTCTGTCTCAATTAGGACTCTATTGAAGTGGTACTGAACAGTTGAGAAAGAAACATTAAAGTAATATTCTTTACTCCCAAAGATAGATGCTTGAGCCAGGCTGTATTTATAAGTGTGTAGCTCCAACCATAAAACCATTTTCTGCATCCATGCAAACTATAATGGATTTACCTTTATCACCATTGTTAAGGAAATTATTTTGTTTCTCCCCCTTCTAGTTCTTCTAAGCTCCTTTTAGGGTAACTCTTTCAAGCTTTTCAAACTACTCTGTTTGACAGTCGGTGAGGTTATAAAGATAAAACCGGTATTGGTATTCATTCACATTTTCTAGATTAGTGTTTTGCAAATGTAGTATATAATTTCACTTCAGCAGAGGAATCCTCTGAGATGCTTATTAAAAATGAAGGTTTCCAGACCCACTAAATAAGCCTCTAGCATTGAGAACATGGGGATCTGGATTTTTAAACACATACTGCAGATAATCCTAGTATATATAAAGTTTAAAAAGCTTTTAGAGGCATATAGAAAATAAATGAAAAGGAGAAAATCTGTTTAATATTTCCATAAAATGTCATGTACATAAGTAATCTCATATCATCAAGAATATTCAATCTTTGTTTTTCATCAAGAATATTCAATCTTTGTTTTTCTTCTGTTCAGTTCTATGATACATTTCAAAAGAAAGTCCTTGGGCATTTGAAATGAATGCAAGGCCAACTCATTTTTACTCTGTTGCTTAACTTTGTGCCTTCTTCACAGGCTGTTTTAGTGAATTAAATATTAAAATAGTTGGAAAAACTTTTGAGATTCTAATTATATCTTAGATGTGTCAAGAATTTTTTAAAATAATGTATATGAAGATATAAAAAAATTGACTGGACAGATTTATTGTTGACAAAATTAACTGCCAACTCACTCTATTTTTCTGACAGTGAGTAATTAAAAGTTCAAGTGTTACCTTTCTTTTCTAAAACAGAAAACAACTTTGGAAGTTCTACTAATTAAATTTCACCTTAAACTTGTCAAGAATATTTAAGACATAGGTCAAATGTATGGTAGCTATAATTATAATGCCTGAACTCACCATTTTCAGTTAGGCAGGGTTTTTTGTTGTTTTCATTCTCTGCATTCTCAAGCAGACTGTAATTATTCTTGGCAATTTCAAACCCATTACTCTCTGGGAAACACTGCTGTTTGGTCCTCAACCAAGTTGCCTTTTTACTTCTAAGTCAAAATCCTCAAATAGAATTTTTTTCTGACTCATTCCAAACAGTGTATAGCTAAAGTCTTCTACCCATTTATCTAACCCAGAGATAGGAATTTACAGGCATCTCTTTGCCATGCAAATTAGAATAGAATAAAAAATAAAAAATTAGAATTCAAATAAAGATTCTAATTCTGTTTTTGTTGGACTCTTACACCAGAACAGATCAGGCACTTTTTGTGTGGTCAACATTATTTTTAATTACCATTACCACCTGTGAGAATAGAGATTGAATATTAAATTGGGATAAATCATCATACCACAAGTTAACAGATTCTGTCAATGACTAAATAATTATAAATTTTAGATAGTACAATGCAGCTGCTATTAGTTGGATACAAATTGGTGGATAAAGCCTACTTAATTATTTCTTTGCTTTTATAATATTAGCATGAACTGCCTGTAGATATACTGATGATCATGAATGTGTGTTTGAAAACTTATCTGTATTATTCAGGGGAATGAGCAAAATGACAGTTTTTCTCTTATAATTTTGAAATTAGCTTCTGCGTTCTGAGAAAGATATGGAAGAACAAAACCAAAATAACCCTTCTTGTCACAGATGATAAAACAGTGGTGCATGCCCTATCATGAACAAATAATCATTCTGACCTTTAGTAATTTAATGTCAAAAATTTAACATTTTAGGACAAAACCTATATAAGGCAATTATTAAGTTTTTATCTTAAAATTTATAAGGAAGCAAAACCAACATTTGTTTTTAAAGGAATATGATTCCAGTTCCTGTAAGACCAGGTTTAGAATGGGAGACATGGATGAGAAAAACTATTAACAAATTCAACCATCCAGAAGAACAGAGAAGCTATTTCTGAAATCTTATTAAAACATATTCCTGGAGATCTTTAGAGTGCCCTCAGATAACAATATTCAAAACACAATGTAGGGTCATTGTTTCTAACAAATTTTTCTTTTACACCATTAATGTGGAAAGCAGAACGGTTAATTTTATTGTGTTAGCTAAGTGCATGATTCTCTATTGGCCTTTCTAAAATTTTAATTTTTAATATGTACATCATAATCTTTGATAGAAGGTTTTTTATTATATTATAATAGAATAAATGTGTAATGTAATATTTTCTATGTGAGTAATAAAGTAAACGTAATAACTGCAGTGAATTCTCATAATTTTATGTTGCTTTGGCATCCATTTTGAATACAAGTTTAACTTTCTCATACCAGAAGCAGGGCTCAGTCAACCTTGATTCAGTTTCTAGTTCTACACCATATCCATCCAACTGGCTCAAGCCGGTAGCCAGAGATAGGAATTTACAGGCATCTCTTTGTCATGCAGACTGGGCTCCCCACTTTCCCACTGTTTCTTTTAAATGGACTATTCAGGCAATTGCCTGTGAGCTTAGAGTGACATACACCCTATTCCCTTAAATGTACTACTGGTAGTCATGTGCTCACTATCTCTGCCTTACTCTTGATTCCTGCCTCCAGTGAACCCAGGATGAAGGAGTGTTTCGACTCATCTGACTCATTATGCCTTCTTTGCCCTGGATCTGTAAGTAAAAACCTTTGAGGTTCCTTTTTTTTTTTTTTATATTGTGGTAGTGTAGTAAATTTGCTCCTTCCTTCCGAAAAACTAGGGGTTGCCCCAGGCCTGGTTTTCTGGAATAAGGAGGGTGGAGTGGGGTAGCATGGGAGTCACAATTTTGGGATGCCAGCACCGGGGTAATGGTCAGGGAAGCATACATTAGACATGAATTAGACAAGAGCCACCAGGGCATCTGCCAGTATTAAACAAGTTTCCCACGTGAGGGATCCCCGGTCATGGGTGAAACAACTAGGCATTAGGCCATCTGCCAGGTAAAGAAGTATTCCATGAAAGGCACCCTGTAAATACACTAGCCCAACTCCCCTTCATTTCCCTTTGGGGCAAGGTTGCTAGCTGTTCTGGTGCTGGAACCTCAGTTGACTTGGGATTCTCAAAACAATAAGCCAACTTTGCATTTCTATTTATTTTAAAATTTGTCTCAAAAAAACACAATAAGAATTCTAGAAATTTATCTTTATCTTTAGTGCACAACTTGATGCCTTTGAAACTAAGGGAGTTTTAATGAGATTAGGTATCAGGATTTTTATATGTAGATATGTGAAAAATAATTGTTTTCTCTGATCCAACAACACAACAAATTGATATTCTCTTTTTAATTTTAATCCCATCACCCCCCTGTGGAAGTCTCCTTTATTTGGAGAGAAATATTTGAATGTGAAAAGAAGAAAGTCATTTGGAATTTGTGAAGTTTGACATGGCAAATCAGCAGGTCATCAAGTAGCCACAATAATTTAATCATGAGTCAGCTAGCTTACAGTATTCTCTCTTTGAGATTTCCTCGTTCACCGGCAAATCATTTATTTTTGTCTTCAATAGGATCTTAGCCTTAGCGTAAGAAAAGAAAACCCATCTGTTTCCATAGATCAGCCTACAGTCTGACCTTGCTCTTCTTACTAATATAAAATTCATTTTGTGTATATATACATATATATATATACATACACACACACACACAGAAAGAGAGTTTAGTAACTGTAGTATATCTCCAAATGGTGCTTAATTCTATTTAAAATGTAAAATTAACATAATTTCTGTGATGAAAAATAGTTGCAAAAAGGCTTGCTTTTATTTTTAAAAAGCCAATACATAATAACAGCTCCCACTGCTTCTCATACAAAAAGTCCACATAGATATTAGATATATTAAAATAAAATATAGATTCTCCAATCTATATGCAGCATGGTCTCGATATGAAATTTGTACACTTATATCCAAAACTGAATACTTTTCCTTTAAGTTTAGGTTCAATCAGATTGTTTATTAGTTTTATGCTTTATGTTCTGTTTCTGGACATTTTGATAATATTAACCAGTTTATATTTCCATTTAGTTTTATAAAAGTTAAGTTTATAAAGTTTTGTTTGTGAGAACAGTGCTCTATATTACCAACAAACACATATTTAATTAGGTTTTGTAATTAATTGCAATTTAGCCACTAGAAAAAATGACCACTATAACTCTATCCAGGTTTATGTAATGTCAGTAACAGTCCTTTATTCATTTTTCATCTTTTTTTATTTCATTAAATCAAGCATTATATTAGGAACTTAAATAAAAATATAGATATTATAAGTTTTTAGATCTCAAAAATAAGGTGACCAGGGCAACTGATATGTAAACAATTTATTATGTAATATATTTGATGTCTGAAAAGTTACATAGGAGGTGAGTTAAAAGGTAATTAAACCATATCTTAAGCACAGATTAGTCTTTTCATTTGGAGATATTCACAAGTAATGTACAAAACTTTTAAATTTATTTTAGTTATGGCAGCAGTAAGGTTGAATCACTCTAATAATTGTCATTACTCCTAATTTTCTATATTCATAAAATTCAAAATGTCAGCAAATACATCTTTAACCATGCTGCTCAGAAGTGTAATGTAAAAAGATTTTGGTTACATACACATACATGCAAAATACATATATACACATATGTTTGTATACATATATTTACATATGTATAAATATAATGTATACATATATTGGTATGCACATATATACAATTACACTATAAATATATGTATACATATATTTGTATGCACATATATACAATTGCACTTCCATTATGCATACATATTCATTGTACATATATTAACTTCACATATAAATGTATATGCATATGTATTTGTATATGTGTGTGTGCATCTATATATTCACTTTCCATCTTTTTATTTTTATTTTTATTTTTATTTTTTAAAGACAAAATCTAGCTCTGTCACCAGGCTGGAGTGCAGTGGCACGATCTTGGCTCACTGCAACCTCCTCCTCCTGGGTTCAAGTGATTCTCCTGTCTCAGTGTCCCGAGTAGCTGGGACTACAGGTATGCACCACCACACCCAGCTAATTTTTGTATTTTTAGTAGAGGCGGTGTTTCACCATGTTGGACAGGATGGTCTCCATTTCTTGACATCATGATCCGCCCACCTCAGCCCCTCAAAGTGCTGGGATTACAGGTGTGAGCCACAGCACCCGGCCATCCCTCTTAAAGAACTTGGGATTTAAATATACACACTCAGAGGCAGATGGGGAAAGAGGAACAATGGAAAATAGAAAAACTGGTGACCAACCAGTGAGAATAGAAAAAGCACATGAAAATAGTATTAGATTTTATATACAGGGCCTAGGTCAGAGAGTCATGTAACTTACTAATATGTGTTACCTTTGCATGCTATATTTCCCAGAAGGAAAAGTAGAAAACATGATTAATTAGAGGATCCAGTCAGTGTCCATAAAATAAAAACATTTGCTCACAAGAAGCAAAACTATCCTCTTATTAATATCTGAAAAAACCTTTTCTCTAATGTCTTATAGGATGCTATGGAATGTATTGTGAATGACATGCTTACCACATATACAGAAGACAGAGTTGAAGGGCTATTTGCCATAACAACCTTCACAGTATCTCTTTGTTAATACAATAAATCTTCTTTCCTTAAAGCCAAATAAACACACTAGCTAAACAATCTCCTAAAAAACACAGTTATCATGGTCTTATATCAGACAAGAATAGATTTTAAACTACCTGCAGAGAAACAGGGAGTGCATCCCATTTCAGATAATCCTTTTATTAGAATGTACTCCCTGACCTAAACTTGTTAAGCAATCCAGAGTTTGAATTTAGAGTCTGTATCAAATAGCTGGAATTATTATCTATTCCAGTTTGCCAATTAAGAATAGAATCATATCTTTTAACAATTTATTAAGCTGGAGGTGGACATGATATTTTACTATGAAAATTACAGAATTTTACAGAATGGACATCTTAAAAATACATTAAAAAGAGAAAAGCATTTGAATTGAGGACAGTGATACTTAAGCAAAATTGCAAAAGCCTACTATGCATCAACAGATATTTTAACCATCATGTGTGACTCCAATCATGAGTGAAACTATTAAAACAAATGGGTAATACGTTGTGTGTTAATTATTTTGTTCTCTTTGTCCGTCTCCATATAAAATTATAATATATTTGAAACATGTAGCATATTAAAGCTTGGCTCACAAATTATAGCTTGGGAATATGCAGAAAAGATGATATTCCTAAAAGGAAAAGCAGGCCCCAAGAAGCTCTCTCTAGTGAAAATTATTAGAGTTCAGTAATTCTTGAAAACAACAGCAGGTACACAAATCAAGGTTGGAAACACTCCAAAGATCTCAAATAATAAAGTAGGTAAGATTATTGATAACAAAAACATTGTTTTTATGTTATCTTAACATATTTCTTACCTCAATTTCACAACTAGCTTCAGTATTTAGTGTTAAAATGTATATTTTCTGCTTTGAATGATTCATCCTTATGGAACTAGAAGATGTAGGATAAAAATATTGTTTGGTGATGTATTTTGACATCTGGTTGATATTTTAACTGACTGCTGAGCTCAAAAATCATGAATGTCTATACAGAAACTGTTTATGCTTGTGCTTCTAGAGTGGAATGCAACTCAACTGGTCTAGCTGACAACTCTCTGTAATCTGAGTTGCTCTTAATGTTTACCCTTTGGCTATGTCTGTATAATACAAGGTAAAGGTATATGTGGTAAATTGAAGCCAGAGATAACTAATCTGTATGCCCAGGGTCTAAACAATTAAATACCTTGTTCCATGAAAATATATTGAGGTCATACCTTCACAATGGTAGATAAAGTAAGATAAAGAAATTTAGCTTTGCACAGAAATTTATCAGCAATATTTTTGGCATTTGCTCATCTTCCATTATTGATTTTAACTTCCTCCTCCTCTTCCTCCTCCTCCTCCTCCTCCTTCTTCCTCTTCTTTCTTCTTCCTTTTTTCTTCTTTCTTTTTCTTCTTCTTTTTTGTTCTGTGGTAGACAAACCTTAACATTGTCTCAACTTCCTGGTATACATGCGCTTGTGTAATCCTCTCTCATTCACTGTGACTTGCTTTAAAATAATGGAATACAGCAAAGGCTACGAAACGTCACTTCTCTGAATAGGTCACATAAAATTCACATAAGTTCCTTCTTGGTAGCAGAATCTCTCAATTGCTGTCTTTGAAGAGCCAAGTTGTCATTTTGGGATACCCACAGGCTAAGAAACTGAAGGCAATCTCCAGCCAACAGGCAGCTAGGAAATAGCGCCCTCAGTCTAAGGGCCCTAAAAGAACCGAATTCTGCCAGTAACCTTGTACTCTTGAAAGCAAATCTTTCCATAGTCTAGCTTTGAGATGCAGCCTTAGTTCATATAATGATTGTAGCTTTGGGAGTGATTCTGAGTCAGATAACTCAGGTAAGCTGAGCCCTAATTCCTGAGCCACAGAAACTGAGAGATAATAAATGTGTATGTTGGTTTTAAAGTCTCTGAGCTTATAGTAATTTACTATACAACAATGGATAGCTAATACAAGATCAAAAAAATGTTTTCTGTAAATTAGCATATTTTCAATGAAGAAATAACTAACTCTTACTGGCATATTTCTATTTTATGTTGCACTTTGTAGGAAAATTAAGTGATTGGTAACAAACAAAGAAACAAAACCCATGGAAACTCACGTTTAAAAAAAAGAAATTCCATAGATAATTTCAATCAATACATAGGCTTAATATGTTGAATAAGTATTTGGTTTTTGACAAAATCATTTCTAAGCTTTTTCTACCAATTTGTCCTTGATACAAGGCAAAGTACTTGGTATCAGGCTTCTAGTATTTGCTAGTTATAGGCAGCTATTGTTAGAAAGAATAAAACATTTGTACATTAATTTGGACAACTACATTTTAGAAATTATACTAAATATAACATATGTGCAGAAAAGTTTACAAATAATTACTGTACAGCTCACTAAATTTTCACAAAGTGAACATCCATACATAATCAGTATTCAGATTAAGAAATAGAACATTAGCAACAATCCAGAAGTTTCTTCCAAAAAGAGGAAGACCATGGAAGTGAAGTGCCATTCTAAGCATATCATGTCAATGGTACATGGCTTATCACTGTTGATGTTGACTTTGACTACCTGGCTGAGGTAATGTTTGTCAGAATTTTCTACTACAAAAGTTTTTCTTTTCCCACATTTTCATACTGAACACTTGCAAGAAAGTCACTGCATGTAGTCCACACTTAGAGTGGCAAGTTTTGTTTCATCTATTAAAGGAGCAATATCTACATAAATCTTTTAACATTCTTCTGTATGAGAAAATTATCTATTCTCTCCTATTTATGTATTTGATCATTTATTTACATTTGTATGAAAGAAAGGAGAAAGTTCTTTCATGCTATGGGTATATTCAACATTACATTATTTATTTTGTTACTCAGATTGTTTCAGCTTTGACAACTGCAGTAGAGTTGGCATCTATGTCTGACATATTCCCACTGATGTATTTTCTGAACCCTTTCTTACTTTTTCCTGAATGCTTTCTTACTCTTAGACACTAAAACACTATTCAGGCTTATTTTCCATATTTTATTCCCAGTCTTAGAATCATCCATATCTCCCAAGAGCCTGCTTCCTTTTATTGGAGAATTGTATTGGAAAATAAGATCTAGGTGCTAGACATGCTTATTGCTACTGTGGTGTCATTGCTTCTATGCCCTCCTAGCTGACAGAGCAAAAGATACAGTAGGAATGTCTACTAACTCACATGTGCAAATCTATACTATCTATATATGCAGGAATCTCTGCCCATATTAAGGCATACATGATTCCTGTCAATGTTTACTGTATCTTTTAATATGAGCATTCTTAGTTTTTCTCATTTTTCCTCATTATATGGTAAACATATTAATAGATTTTCTCATGTTGAACCAACCTTTTATTTTAGGAAATAAACCACAATTATCATAATATTGTGTTCCATTTATACAATATCAGATCGGGTTTTCCAATAATCTGTTTATCATTTTTGCATTTATGTGCATAGAAGTTTTGTCTGTAATTTTTCTTTCTTGTGATATCCTGGTTAGGTTTTGGTTTGTAGGTCATGCTGGATCCATAAAGTGAAGTGTGAAAGGTTTTCTCTCTTTATGCTTCAGTGAAAACTTGAAGCTATTATTCTTATTGTTGTTCCTTTGAAATACATTTTTTCATTTTTTTTAGCTGCTCTTATCTTTCTTGTGTCTTTTGTGGTGAACTTTTTTCTATGACATGGCCTAGTGTGGCTTTGTTTTATTTGGGATTTATAGGACTTCTTGGTAATTCTTTTTATTTGCTTTAGACAATTCTTGGCAATTATGCCTTCATATTTTGCTTCTACTCCATTTTTTTCACCTCTCTTTCTAGGACTCCAATTACATGTACAATAAATCATTTCAATTTGTTCTTTGCTTTATGTGGCTCTTTTATTTTTTTTTCTGTATTTTTCTCCCCTTTTCTAAATTCTGTTCTCAGACTGTATATTTTCTTTTGTCTTCAAGTTTGCTAATTCTCTTCTCTGTTGTGTCTAATATTCTGCTATTTATTTTGAGGTTCCTAATCTAAATTATTTTTATTTTTCAGTTTAAAATATTCAGCTGAATGTTCTTAGTGAATTCTAATCATTTGGTGAAATTCTCTGTTTTGTCTATAATTTTCTCCATCTTCTCCTCTATCATCTTATAAAACTTATCATAACAGTTTTAAAACCCTTCTTTAGTAACTTCAATGAGTCTCAGTCAATTTTGGATTTATTTCTGTTGTCAATTTGTCAGTTGATTTCCTTAAAAAATTGAGCGTGTCTTTTGAAATACTTGGTGTTTTAAAACTTAAGCACTTGACAATGTATATGAAAAAGTCTATAATTAGCCTCTGGATAACTTCTTGTTTTTCCACATATAGGTCAACCTTACTAGGCAGATAACAAAGTCACCAATTATTTTAATCCATCAGGGACTGATCATACTCATGTTTGCTTTGCAGTTTGGGCAAGGTTCTGTATATATCTGATTAGTCTCTTCTACAGCAAATGATTCAAAATGAATAAATGTCTTTGATTCACATTTATTAGGCATAGAAATTCAAACTAATCCAGAATTGCAAAAACAACTTTTAATTAAGTACCTCAAATTGAGTAGGTCAAACGTATTTGCAGCAATAAAAAAGAAAAGTAAGAAGGAAGAAAAAGCTCATTAAGAGAGTATATATAAAATAATGTGGAAATTTAGAAAGAGAATTTAGCTATGCTGCCTTTAGCAAATTTGTTTACCTCTCTGTGCCTCAGTTTCTGCATTCATGCTGTAAAATAATGTTGCTGTGAAGATTGAAGGAGAAAATGTATATAAATTGCTTACAAAAATGCCCAGCAAATAATATGTGCTTAGTAAAATTTATCGGTTCCTATGCTTATTACTATCACTGGTAAAATCACTAATTTGGCATTATGTTTTTATCTGGGGAAACTGGATGAAGTTCTACAAGTTAGATGCTAAACTGAGCTTCACAGATAATTCTAATTTGACCTATGATTTAGCAATGTGATGAGGGAGGAGACCTTCTAATAAAGGAAAGTGTATGAAGATTCACTCAGATTAGAGAAATAAGTGTATGTTATAGAAAATGACATGAAAACTAGGTTACATTTGTTATGAGTAGTATGGCTCCCCCATGTTTGGTAGTATACTTTCTTTTCCTTTTTTTTTTCCTTCACTTTTTGGACCTATCGAGTTAGAACTGATATTGATAGCAAAATAATCATAAATAACAAAGTTCAAATCCTTACTATGTATCAACTCCGTGATATGCTTCGTATGTGTGATCACTCACAATCATCACAGCCACCTCGTGATGTAGCATCTCTTTTTAAGCACCATTTTACAGGTCATGTGAAGGAAGAAAGTAAAGCTAATAGATGTTACCAAATATCTTGTATACGAGAAAAAGTGAAGCCAGTTTTAGAGCACAGAACATTGATTTTACAGTTTAAATGCTGACTTTACACGTCTTCCTTAATTGCCCTTGGTTTTCATTAAAGGCAAAAAAGGAAGCAAAGAAAATTCTTCAAGATTTCTTGTTTTGCCAAAAAGCTGCCATTAACTTTTTACTTTCCCTCCTCTCATCCCACTCACGTAAATTTCCTTTAAAATGCATGTTGTGGGTCTTTGCATAATCTGCAAATGTCACTCATTCCCAGGTCTACATTTCCTACCTATTTCCTTTCTTAAACCATACAGATATTTTTGGCAAACCAATACATCTCCACAGTTTGTTTTCCGAGATTAAACAACAACAACAACAACAACGACAACAACACCAGATACCTCTTTAATATTGGAATTGAAAACCCAAGTTACAATTTTGTTCATGTAAAGGTAGTGTGTGTGTGTGTGTGTGTGTGTGCGATTTATGTGTATTTGAATGCTTATGTGTTAGCATATCATCTTTTGAATTCAAAGAAAAAAATAAAGACTTCAACAAAGATATAGAAAATTTATTCTTATTTGATAATGATTCTTTTAGCTACTTCTCATACACATGTACCTGGTATTACATGATGTTCTTTTGCAAGAAATGGATCTTTAACATTATACCATAGTTGTATAATTTGGAGAAGAATGTATCATTTGTGGAGAATGATAGCAAAGTGCAACTTTATTTTGAAGTATACATGACACATGGTCAGATATTAAATCAAAATTGAATCACAGAGCTTTTTCACTTGGTAAACTATATCATGTGAAAAACAGTTGGTCCAGTAAGAGAAAGAGTCCACATCTGAGCTATAGAACTAACCTTTATACACATCTTTTAAATGTGATTACTTCACACACTATTCAGTCCCAAGTTTAATTAGTTGCATGAGCTAAGTCATACCTAGTGGATTTATGGGTAACTGTAAGAACTTTGCAGTTTTCTCCTATGAAGTAACATATAAATTTATATTTGTATAATTATTTATGATATTAATATGGTAGATTTGTGCCTCACTCAAATCTCATCTCATCTCAAATTATAATGCCCATAATCCCCACATGGCGAGGGAGGGACAAGGTGGGAGGTGAATGGGTCATGAGGGCGATTTCCCTCATGCGGTTCTCATGATAGTGAGTGAGTTCTCATGAGATCTGGTGGTTTTATAAGCATCTGGCCTTTCCCACACTCACGCATCTCTCTCCTGCCACCATATGAAGAAGGTCCTTGCTTCCCCTTTACCTTCTGCCATGATTGTAAGTTTTCTGAGGCCTCCCCAGCCATGTGGAACTGTGAGTCAATTAAACCTCTTTGCTTTATAAATTACCCAGTCTCAGGTATTTCTTTATAGCAGTGTGAAAATGGACTAATACAGTAAATTGGTACCAAGGTACTGGGGCATTGCTATAAGATACCTGAGAACTGGAAGTGACTCTGGAACTGGGTAACAGGCAGAGGGTGGAAAAATTTGGAAAGCTCAGAAGAAGATAGGGAGGTGTGGGATAGTTTGGAAATTCCTAGAGCCTTGCTGAATGGTTTTGGTCACAATGCTGATAGTTATATGGACAATGAAATTCAGTCTGAGGTGGTCTCAGATGGAGATGAGGAACGTATTGGGAACAGGAACAAAGGTCACTCTTGCTATGTTTTAGCAAAGACACTGGTGGCATTTTGCCCCTGCCCTAGAGATCTGTGGAACTCTGAACTTGAGAGAGATGATCTGAAATTGGAATTTAACGTTTAAAAAGGAAGGAGAGCATATAATTTTGGAAAATTTACAGCCTGAGTATGCGATGTAAAGAAAAACTCATTTCCTAGGGAAAAATTTAAGCTGGCTGCAGACATTTGCATAAGTAATGAGGAGCTGAATGTTAATAGCCAAGAAAATGAGGAAAATGTCTCCAGGGCATGTCAGAGGTCTTCACAGCGGCCCCTCACATCATAAGCCCAGAGGCCTTGAAGGAAAAAATGGTTTTGTGGGCTGTGCACAGGGACTTGCTGCTTTGTGCTGTCTCAAGACTTGGTGCCCTTGTTCCTAGCCATGGCTAAAAGAAGCCAACATATAGTTCAGCCCATTTCTTCAGAGGGTATAAGCTCCAAACCCTCATGGCTTATATGTGGTGTTGGGCCTGTGTATGCACAGAAGTCAAGAATTAAGGTTTGGGAACTTCTGCCTAGATTTGACAGGATGTATGGAGATGTCTGGATGTCCAGGCAGAAGTTCGCTGCAGGGGTGAATCCTCCCTCTGTTAGGACAGTGTGGAAGGGAAATGTGGGGTCAGAGCCCCCAAACAAAATCTCCACTGGGGCACTGTCTAGTAGAGCTGTGAGAAGAGGACCACCATCCTCCAGACCCCAGAATGGTAGATCCACTGACAGCTTGCACTGTCCACCTGGAAAAGCCACAGATGCTCAATGCCAGCCTGTGAAAGCAGCCAGGAGAAAGGCTATACCCTGCAAAGCCACTGGGGCAGAGCTTCCCCAGACTGTGGGAGCCCACCCCTTGCATCAGCATGACCTGGATGTGAGACATGAAGTCAAAGGCGATTATTTTAGAGCTTTAGGATGTAATGACTGCCCCACTGGATTTTTGGACTTGCATGGAGCCTGTAGCCTTTTTGTTTTGATCCAAAATTGGAACTTATGTTTAAAAAGGAAGGAGAGCATATAAGTTTGGAAAATTTATCCCACTTGGAACAGGTGTATTTATCCAATGCCTGTAATACCATTGTATCTTGGAGGGAACTAACTTGTTTTTTATTTTACTGGCTCACAGGTGGAAAGGACTTGCCTTGTTTCAGATGAGACTTTGGAATGTAGACTTTGGGTTAATGCCAAAAGTCTACATTGTTACGACTTTGGGAGACTGCTGGAAAGGCATGATTGAAATGTGAGGATTTCAAAACCATATCATCCCGCCCATGGCCTCTCCCAATTCTCACATTCTCACATTTCAAAACATAATCATGTGTTCCTACCCAAATCTCATCTCAAATTGTAATCCCCATAATCCCCACATGTCAAGGGAGGGACAAAGAGCAAGGTGATTGGATCATTGGGGCAGTTTCCCTCATGCTGCCCTCATAATAGTAAGTGAGTTCTCACAATATCCAATGGTTTTATAAGGCAGTTTTCCCTGCTGTTGCTCGTTCTCCCTTGCCTGCCGCCATGTAAGATGTGCCTCTTCCCCTTCTACCATAATTGTAAGTTTCCTGAGGCTTCCCCAGCTATGTGGAACTGTGAGTCAATTAAACCTTTTTGCTTTAGAAATTACCTAGTCTGTGGTATTTTTAGTATCTTTAAAGCAGTGTGAAAACAGACTAATACAGATATCTGTTATATAAAGAAATTTACAATATTATTTGAATCTGAAATCTTTTGAAGACCTTGTCATGTTTTATTTTCTCTGATTTTTACATTAATATTTGTCCAGAATATATGTTTATTAAAGATAAACATTTTACAAATGTTTTGGTCTAATCTAAGAGTGACAACTGATGTGTTCATGTCATGATTATCGAGAGAGCCAGTGTGTGTGTGTGTGTGTGTGTGTGTGTGTGTGTGTGTATGTGTCTGTATACAACTTATCTCTTGACTCTCAAGGTAAAGGAAAGTAGTAATCCAAGAGAGAAATGGAAACTAAAGAAATTAAAAGCTCCTGCACCCATGAATTTCTATTACCTGGAAAACAATTTAATGTAAAATACTTAAGCCTTTCTTTTCCATTAGATCAAAACCAAATATACAACTAACAATGTAACTTAGGATATATTGTTGTATCACATTTAAGAGTGGTTACTTACAAACTTTAGGCTAGCAAAAAAAAAAAAGCAATAAGTAAAATATCCAAGAAAATAAATTTATTTGGCTTAGGTTGTTATGAGGCACTCATCAAAGTAACAATGTTGCCATTGCAGTAATATTTTCAGGTATATTTAGTGGCATGTAAAGATGGGCATGACATCTTAAAAGTAAAACAATCAGTTTTAATAAAATGTGTAATTTTTGTTTGTTCTTTGAGTAGATTTGTCTTTGTTTAGGGAGTGAACACTATGAAAATTAGCCATAGAGATATAAAACAAGTTTCTAACCTCTGTTCAATGAAAATCTCTGAGTTAGTGTCTACAAAAAGACGATTTTATTAAGAAAAATATAGGTGTCAATTATCAAGATAATTCTATAAGTTTTTATATACATGCACACACATACACATACACAAGTTTTAAAACCCATGGCTATATTGCTTTTCCTTAATTGGTGAAATTATAGACTATTTTAATTTTCGATTTTTACTTTATGTATATTTTTGAAAAATTTAAAAATTAAGCTTACCATATTGCATACTTAAAAAATACTTAAAATATTCATATATAAGTTGATGTGAGTTCTAGAAAAAAGAGGTATCTATACTTACCTAATGTATATGATATAAAATTTCAGAAATTTATGCTCAACATAATTGAAACAATGAGTAATAAAACATACTTTTTACTAGTAAAAGGAGAGTTCTAAAATTGTATTAGATATTTTTGGAAATGTATAAAACATCTACAAGTTCCTCAAGGGTACGTGTAAGACAAAACAATGTAGACCTGAGTGGAAAAAAGATCTTCCTCTAAAAAATACCTTTCGTTCTGGTTATTTTTTCCCACATACTTATTATTATTTCAAGAGGCATGACCTAGATGTATTTATAATCCATGGGACAATTTAAGACCCTAGGCTCTTACATTCTTTGAACCTTGGTTCTCACTTCTGGAGTTCTGAATATGTTAGAGAGTATTCTCATTAATAACTAGATGTAGTCCTAAACCACTTATAATGGTTGAATGAGAGGCTTTACAGAACATACGTGTTTTTTTCTCTCTGATTGCTGAATGAAATACAGGTAGTGTTTAATTACATATTTTAAACTTTCACTCTTATTCTGAGATAACTAAAGGTTTTAAAAGCATATATGTGGAATGTGACTAATAAAAAATTTGAGTGATAACATCTTGATGGTGTCAAAGAAATTCTAAGGGCCCCAGAGATAATCTTTTTATATAGGTTTGGCATTTAAAAAATGGTGAAAGTATAAACCATCTGATATATAATGAATTTGCTCTAAATAAGAATGCAAAGCATATTGTAATTACAATGTTCAAAATGATAAAGTAACATTAAAAAATGATAGCTATGATATTCAGGCATGAAGAGAATCAGATCTCATTTATACAACTATAAGTGAGAATAATTTAGTACAGCAACTTGAAACTCAAGGGCCTCTGGTTTACCTAATTTTATGTCTCCATTGCAAATTTTAAAATATTCTTTCTCATAGTGAATTTTTACTTAGTTAAGTCATAATTTCTCTAATAAATGTTTAAATACATATAAATTTAGAGTCAGATATTGATATGGTTTAGCTATGTCCCCACCCAAATCTTATCTTGAATTGTAGTTCCCATAATCCCCATGTGTCGTGGGAATAACTCGAGGAGATGTAACTGAACCATGGAGGAGGTTACCTTCATGCTATTTTCATGATAGTGAGCGAGTTCTCGTGAGATCTGATTGTTTTATAAGGGGTTTCCCCCCTTTTGCTCATTCTTCTCTTTCCTGCTGCCATGTGAAGAAGCAAGTGTTTGCTTCCCCTTCTGCCATGATTGTAAGTTTTTTGATGCCTCCATAGTTATGCTTAACTTTGAGTCAATTAAACCTCATTGCCTTATTAATTACCCAGTCTCAGGTATGTCTTTATTGGCAGAATGAGAACAGACTAATACAAATATACAAATTCATTCTTTGTAATAAATTTTACTCTACATACTGGCATATTTAATATTAACTTAAAAAATTGTGACAAAACCTGTATTTGAGAAAGCTGTGAAAATGACAATAACGTTTATCTGATAAAATGTAACATAGCATAAAAAATAGAATACAATAAAATGAAAATATAAAATCAAAGAAAATGAGAAAAGAAAGGGGAGACCTTTGCTTGCACTCCTAATGCAGTGTCTCATTAATTAGAGACTGCAGTTTACTTCACTACGTGTACTTTAGGTCCAAATAATAAAATAAGAATATAAATGACACAAAAGCACTTTTTAAATGTAGACTAAAAAATAAAAACCATTCATAAAAATTATTAGAGCTGTCAATTAATAAAATAATATGGCCAATCAAATCATGAAAATCTGTTCAGCCTCAGTGCTGATCAGGAAAACATAATTTAAACAACATTGGGAAAAGAAAACTAAAAACTTCTGTGCATTTTACTATCAGATTAAATTTAAAATGTTGATGTTGTTAAGTATTGAGGGAAGTGTTAGGTGAAAAACTCCTTAGTGGCAATGGTAGACTGCACTTGAAATGGCCTTTTTGAATGGAATTTCAGTAATAATTATAAAAATGTGAATTGTACATTTTCTTTGTATCTATTGGTAATTGAATTTTATTTCTAATAACAGACCTCAAAACAGTGCTTAAACCGAGTAGGGACTGGACTTTTTTCTGATAAGAAGTCTGGAGACAGGCAGTCCATATTTGGTGTACATATACCAGGATTTCACCGGGAACCTAGTTATCCCTTTGTCTCTCATCTCAGCTTTCTTGAGGACACTTTGACTTTTATGTGCAAGTCCACTGATCCACATCTACCCCTGCCTTTGCTTCTAAAGTACTTTACTTGAAGTCACACCCTACAATCTGTACCAGCATCTGTATATACTGGTTGGAACTTCATTGAGGTCTGTAAATGAGAGGCTGAATTGCTAGTGAATTAGCAGTCTTTGCTATGATGTTTGTTTGTTTGTTTCGGAGTCTCATTCTGTTGCCAGGGCTGGAATGCAGTGGCAAGATCTTGGCTCACTGCAACCTCAGCCCCCTGTGTTCAAGCGATTCTCCTGCCTCAGCCTCCCGAGTAGCTGGGATTACAAGTGCCTGCCACTACACCCAGCTAATTTTTTGTATTTTTAGTAGAGATGGGGTTTCACCATATTTGCCAAGCTGGTCTCGAACTCTTGACCTTGTGATTTGCCCACCTTGGGCTCCAAAAGTGCTTGGGATTACAGGCGTGAGCCACCGCGCCCAGCCTGCTATGGTTTTCACTAGCAATTCCTCTTCTATGAAACGATCCTTGGTAGATGTGAAGATGTAACACCCAGATTGCTTCTCAGGGAAGGACTTGCTGCTCTCATGGGGAACATACACATCAGAGAGCCTCCTGTGGTCAGTTTCTCTAGCATCTCTAGACAAAGATGGAAGCTATGAATGGGTTGGTCTAACAGCATGGATTTCCACTTCCCAAATCCAGCCTAACTACTGATCTCTACCAATCGGGCTAACATTTTCTCAGAGATGCACCACAGTCTCAGGCTCTTTCTACTTTTAAAATCTTCTCCTTTCTTCTCTTTTTTTCTCAGCTGTCAGACCTGGATTTTAGAGTCAATATTTGCCCTATTCTCTTCTCCCTCTGTCCTTTATCCCTCACAGGTATTTTTCTCCAACATAATCCTTACATGAAAAATTCTATCTTAGCATCTGCTTCTTGAGTGCCTGAACCAATTTAATTTAACAGTCAGTAAATTTTATTTCAACAATGTTTTTATTATTTCTCAAATTTCATTTAAAAATCCCCTTCTTTCCATGGAAAAAAATAAAGCACTACAAAAATAGCAAAATCAATGTATAAACCAATGAAACCAATGTAACAACACTTGGGATGGTAGAAGAAAAGGTAACAGTCACTCTTTCGCCACACTTAAATAATTTGGTGACATAAAATTATGAAACATTTCTGAGAGACTGCAAGGAGATAAGAGAATATTGAAATGTAAAGCAGCAGAATTAAGACTTACTTGTCCTCTGACATTTGTCCTGGTCTGCCATTTTTTGTTATTTAATAATTTTCAATGATTATTTTTCATTATTTCTAATTAAACATTACTCTATGTGTGATCATTGGTGAAAATAATATTCAAATGTTAATTCCAGTTCAAAACTGAAATGTGTGCATATGTGTTAATACCATTTTCAAATTACTGCTTTTGAGATGGTGGAAACATTTGGATAACTAGGATTTATTTTAGCACAATTAATAGATAAATAAAAATAAATATATGAAATTTTACTCAGTAATTTTACATTTGAATTCATTAACACCTTTTTCTCATTTGTGATTTCAAACATCTTTTAAATTGTATGCCAACTGCTTTAAATGTATTAAAAGAGAACACATTTTTTTGTTTGTGCTGTATTTTATTAG
Source organism: Homo sapiens (assembly GCF_000001405.40). NCBI lineage: Eukaryota > Metazoa > Chordata > Mammalia > Primates > Hominidae > Homo > Homo sapiens. The sequence goes on along the minus strand of NC_000010.11, from coordinate 57,205,965 downwards.
TGACATTTGGTGCAAGAAGTATATCCTATGTTCTACATGCAAAACACAAAATTTATAAACTCAGAATATATATGTATATAATATGTAATTTGGCATTTTATACAGCATGAATCCTTTATACTCTGTAAAATATGTTATAAATAAGAAACATTATACGAAAAAGTGGGTTTGGTTCAAGCATCTATCCCAGTTATTTGAACATATGTTATAGAAATTAAAATTTATCAGAAAACATTAATTTGTTTGAATTTCCATAATAATTTCATTTGTTTTTCAAAAAAAGTGGCCAAAATGTGAATAATACTTTACTATTATAAATTTCTATGTTAAGGCTAATCATTATTATACTTCACCACAGAACTAAACTCGTGTTTCAACATTTCTTATATGTGACCTGTTTTACATGGTTTTACCTTTTCTTTTACTGTGGCATGCACAAAGCATGCTCAAGAAATATGTCTTCTGTGACTGAGATTGTAAATGTTCACTTATCTTTAGTTATATTAATTCTTGGACAATGTTGATTGGATTGATAAATTTCTAGGTAAAAGTGAAACATAAAAATGTAAATATTGAAATACCAGATTTTTATCATGTCTATGCAGATTAAAACAAGAAATTAACCAGCAGTTTATGTACAAACATTAAACACATGGTAATGTTTTGCATGGTTTTTATGTTACCCTTGAGAACCTTGCTAATATGGAGAATTCACCACCATTTCAAAGTGAGTTCTTATCATTTAGAACCTCACTTTCAATGACGAACAACAGATGAGCTAACCAGTGTAGAATGATTCTGCAAAATAAGAAAATCTCCAATCGATTATGGGGTACAGGAAAATATAGATCCTAAATGCCAGTCTGCACAGAGACCGCATGCTATGATAAAGTTTCCAGCACTCAGAAGCAAAAGTATATGAATTAGTTTGCCAGTTAAAATTGTTTGGGATCAACTGTTCTCATTGTATAAAATGTTTTTATGTCATTTGTCCTATTTTCTTTTAAAAATATGACACTTTATTATCATCTTGAGGTGACATATCTAGTTGGCATACGTGTTTGTCTTCACATTTTGAAGAGTTGGATGTGGATGGATTTTACTCTTTGTAAAATTTCACAATTGAAAATACCTCGTTACATATTTTTAAAAATAATGACCATTTAGAAGTTGAATAAGTTTTGTAATTTGTCATGAAAAACTTGTTTTTCAAAGCATAAAATTCATTTTAATAGCTACTGTTAAAAAACAAAAATGCTTATGGATTTTCTTTTGTAAGTTTGCCAAACCATTCAGTTTCTTTTCTGTTTGCCAAACCATTCAGAAAGTGACTTGCATGTAGCTCACACATTTCTCTCATTTTCTTCTATTTGTGGGTCATAAATATAAGAAAACAATGAATTTTGATAAATGTAATATGGTATTTTTCTAAGATCAATTAATGTTTCAAGGGTAGATTTTTTCAACCATCACTGGGGCCTTTTAATTTCTATTGAATGAGACACAATTAAAATTACATTGGCACTAAGAAAAACAATCAAGATTGTATTGGACTGTTTTATTTCCCTAATAAATAATAGCTAAGATGACCCTGTAAAAGTTATTGTTCTTCACAAAATAACATTTGAAAGCATTCATATTTACAATGTTTGCCATTTTATATGTTTCTTTAACCTGCAAGATAATTCTAATTGAGTTGTAAAAAATATGAAGATATGACTTTATTGCACCTCAAGTAATTACAGTGTTGTCCAATAAGCTCTTTTGTGCTCATAATTTTTCAAATTCCAGCTGAATAAAAGTGACCACTTTTAACTATCTATTAATGGTTAGGTTAAATTATATACATAAACATAATTAATTTTAGACCCCCAACAATACTGTTTACTGTGTTAGTCTGTTCTCAGGCTGCTAATAAAGACATGTCCAATACTGGGTAATTTACACAGGAAAGATGTTTAGTTGACTCACAGTTCCACATGGCTGAGGAAGGCCTCACAATCATGGTGGAAAGCAAAGGGGAAGCAAGACACAACAGGTCTTACACGGCAGCAGGCAAGAGGGCGTGTGGAGGGGAACTGCCCTTTTATAAAAACATCAGAGCTTGTGAGACCTATTCATTACCACGAGAACAGCAGGGGGAAAAACATCCACCCCTATGATTCAATTACCTCCCACCAGGCCCTTCCCATGACATCTGGGGATTATTACAATTCAAGGTGAGATTTGGGTGGGGACATAGAGTCAAAACATATCACATGCATAATATAAAGTAACAATTATTCAAGTAATGTATAACGTAAAGTAACAAACAAAATATTCAAGATGATTATTTTCTAGTGGGAGATTTAAAGGAGGTAAAGCTTGTCAGAGAAAAATTCCCCACAAAAGTGTTAGGTTGAATTTTATGTCACTTCTCATCTGTATAGCAGATTATGAGAACAAAAAAAGTCTAATTCTCGTGTATACATGAGTTATTAAAATATTAAGGAATTTAGTGTTAATTTAGACATTAGGAGCCAAAGAAAACTAGAGGTTGGCCTTTCTTCATGCTTATCCATATATTTATTTCTTTTTCTTCTTTTTATTATTATTTTTAAAGTCATGGCCTTGCTTTGTCACCCAGGCTGGAGTGCAGTGGTGCGATCCTAGCTCACTGTAACCTTAAACTCCTGGGCTCAAGTGATCCTCCTGACTCGTCGTCCAAAAGTGCTGGGATTACAGGTGTGAGTCACCATGCCTGGCCAAACTTCTTATATTTCTTATATAGTATATTTTAAATAAAATAACATGTTGGGAGAAAGTCACACTTTCTAATAAATAAATACATCAGACATTTGAGCTCCTTGATATCTTTTTTTTCTTTCATGTCACTTAAAAATTGGTTGTGAGGTTAGCAATGTACACCTAACTTTGGAAAATAATATTTATTAGCTATTGAATGTATGGACCTTGTCATCATGGAGACCTAACATTGAGTCCCATCTTAGTGATTTTGTAGCTATGAGATTTGGGCAAGTTGTGTAACCTCTTTATACCTCAGTTTTTGCATATGTAATACCTTATAATGAACTTACCTCAGAAGATGAGACATATAATTTATGCAAAGCATTTAACATGTTATGTAATGTATAGTAAGTTCTCAATAAAATAAATATTATATTCTCTAAAGGTTTGCATTTAAAAATTGATATTTGCAATGTGAAAAATTTTAGAGACATACACCACTTTTGAAGGCTACTACAGCTCATTCATTACAGTACATTAAATTTGTATAGTGTATATTTTTGTTTGGATGAAATCTGTTTTCCATTCTGCCTGCTGGGCAAATAGCTAGTTCACAGCGGAGCTGAGGAATCCTTCCAGAGTAGAAAGAAATCCTCTTCCTTCTGCACTGAGGCTCTGAGGAAACTCACATTCCACAGATGGAGGCTCTGGATCTGCTGCATACAGCTCTCAGTATGTTTTTCTGTGCTACAGAAGGTGTCAGGGAAGGTGTGATATAGGAGTTTCAAGAGGTTGCTTATCAGCAGGAAAGAGTCATTACAGAAGGAAAATCACAAAGAAAGAATGAAAATGTGAGAATGGGAAATGGAGATTAAAATATGCTCTCTGGAAGCTGGAAAAGTTTAAGTCCAAGTTTTACCACAAAACACCTGTATATTCTTGGGAAAGTTTTTGAGCTTTTTCTGTGTTAGGTTTTTCATCTAGTATGATCTATTATTTCAATGGGGCTAATAATATCTGTCATAAGAGGTTATAAAAGGGATGATTAATAGGTACAAAAATACACTTAGATAGAAGGAATAAGATCTACTGTTTGGTAGCACAATATGGCAACTGGAGTTAACAATAATTTATTGTATATCTCAAAATAACTAGAAGAGTAGAACTGGAATGTTCCTAACACAAACAAGTGATAAATTCTTGAGGAGATGGATACCCTTATTGGCCTAATTTGACCGTTACACATTGTATGCTTGTACAAAAATATCATACACACTCCATAAACATGTATGACTAGTATGTATCCATAATAATTACAATTTTTAAAAGTTTAAAAGTAAATTGTGTATATTCAATAAGATAATACAGTTTGGGGTACTTACTAAAGAGCTCAGTCTACTGTAAAGTATTGAAATTCGCTAAAGAAGAAGAAGAGGAAGAAAAAGAGGATGAGAAAGAAAAGGGGAAGGAGAAAAGAAGAGGTAGTAAGAACATATTTGAATTGTATTCACTGAGAAAAAAAAGCAGAAAAAGGCCGGGCGCAGTGGCTCACGCCTGTAATCCAGCACTTTGGGAGGCTGAGGCAGGAGAACGGCGTGAACCCGGGAGGCGGAGCTTGCAGTGAGCCGAGATCGCGCCACTGCACTCCAACCTGGGCGACAGAGAGAGATTCTGTCGCAAAAAAAAGAATTGAAGAAAGAAAAGATGTATGAAATTTTGGCTTGTAAAAAGCTAATACTAGACAGAAATAAGGAGTATCAGTGAGAGTATGCAGAATTGGAAACCTCATGCATTGCTGATGGGAATGTAAAATGGCACAAGTGTTTTGGAAACAATTTGGGAGTGCCTCAGAAAGTTAAATATGAAGATACTACATGACCCAGCAATTTCATTCTGAGGTATATAAGCAAGAAATTGAAAATTTATGTTTACAACAAAACTTTAATGTGAATATTCTTGGCAGAATTATTCATAATAGCTAAAAAGTGGAAATAGCACCAAATGTACATCAGTTAATAGGTGGATAAACAGATATAATACAGCCATACAGTAGAATATTACTCAGGCATCAAAAAAATTAAAGTTGTAATATGTGCTACAACATGGATGAGCTATGAAAACATTATGCTAAATAAAAGAAGCCAAACACAAGAGGCTGCATATTTTATAAATTCATTTATATGAAATGTCCAGAATGGGCAAATCCACAGAGACAGAAAGTAGTTTAGTGGTTGCCTCCGTGGCAGAAGGGAGGCTGCTAATGGGTATGGGAGTGCTTTGGAGAGTATGAAATTGTTCTGGAATTGGGTAGTAGTGACAGTTGGACAACTTCGTGAATATACTAACAACCATTGAATTATATACGTTAAAAGAGTGGATTTTATACCTAAATAAAACAAAAATTAATACTAGGAAAAATAAAACAGAAAAAGGCACAATCTGGCAAAGAAATAGTGTAGTATATATAGAGAGAATGCTTAAATTCCAAAATAAACAGTACATTCTATTTTTATATAATACTATGATTAAAATGTTATATATGTTCTCTAAGGGCACTATGTCTACTGAGTAGCAAAATATGCTTAATAAACCAGAATGAACATAGAATGAGGCAAGGTAGAATAAATAAAACAAAAACAAAGAAATAAAGCAAAAACAATATATTTAAAATACATGTATTACATGCTTAATTTATGGCAGTTATAATTTTTATCAAAACACCATTTTTCATATGAATATGAACTTGCCATAAAAATAATGGCTTTAGATTTAAATATACAAATATATGTCTCAATTATAAAATCTATCCTCACGAGTTACTTTAAAAAATACAAAAAGAGTAATACCGGCTATTCTTTAACAATGTCTCTGTTTTAAGGGTTCTGCTTTATTATATTTGAATAAATTAATCTGAGTCTAGCAGAGAGCAATGGTAACCTGATCCTCTCAGCTTCACATATAGCACCCTTCCAAGGCTCTCTTCTTTCCTTAGAAAATCATCCAAGGACACATTATAATTCATTGTGTCCTGTATCCTCATTCATCTGCCTGGACTTGTAAATATCTCCATGATACTAACAAAAAGCAGCATAAAATATTGGTTTAATGACATGAATAGAACTATAATTTGTGAATTGATTAAGACTTATAATTTAATGGGGATTGTCAAGAACACCTTGGACAGAAAAATAAGTTGATTAATAATGCTCGAACATAAAGAGCAGAAACTTTACTCATCTGCTGGGTATTTTAGCTTTTTACAAACACCAAATGTAATTGCTTTTAGTAATATTTTAATAGCACAATCATTTAGAATACTTGGTGTGAAATTTGTTAATTTGAGACTTTTAGGTTATCTTGTGTTGGCTCTGATAAATTCAGTTCAAAAGTCCTAGGACAGAGTATTAACCAAAACCCATTCAAATCAGTTAGACATTTGCACTGATTCGACAGTGCTGTTCAGCAACCAACTGAAATTTGATCCTATGTAATTGTAACTAAAAACACCAAGTTGCCAGGTTACCTTAGAAATGTCTATCATAATTTAATGATATTCAAAAATAAAGAAAATGCGTGTGTGTGTATGTGTGCCTCTGTGTGTGTGTGAGAGAGACAGAGAGCGAATGTTGAAAACTGAGTATTTTCTAGAAGATTTTTTTCACTGCTTTCTGAATTATTTATGCAGGCAGCAGCCTATTTTCTGCATTAGTGCTTATTCCTTCAATAGGCATAAGTGAACAGTGAGTCAATCCATGTTCTCTCACCAGTTTGTGGACAAAGAGATTTAATTAAAATAAATGCACTTAAAATAAATGTAAAGTTTATTTAAAATTTAGCGTGGGATTATTCTGCCATAACCAAATGGGCAAAATTTTTCCTTCTGAAGTTAATATTTAAAGAGAATCTCAGGAAATGCGGAAAACTTAAAATTTGGGGTGCTAGGAATCTTTTCTAAATAAGATACATTTTATATACCTTTTTATGTAGGAGAAAAATACATGCGCACATATACATAATTCCATATTCAATTTCAAAGTATTTGTGCTGCAGTATATTTGTCTCTAACTGTTATTCTTTCAAATATAAGGGACCAAATGACTGAAATCATCATTGGTCTTCAATGTGAATAATAACCTGTATTTGACTCCAACTCTTACTTGCAGATTTATTTTATATGTCTACATAATAAAGATGATCTTATTCTCTCATTTATATCTACAGTCTTCAGAATAACTGATCTATATTGTGACTTTCAATGTTAATAAACTGCACGCTAATGAAAAGACAATGTTACATTGATATTCTCCATAACAATTGCAGGTACATACAGTGGCATTAAATAATGGTAATACAAACAATGAAGAAACTGCTCACTTAAACATTCAAACATCAAAATATCTTTTACATGACTTAGTTTCAATATAATCAATTTCCATTACTTTTTTCATATGTTAATAAGTATAATGTAAAATTATACAGCTGAACTATAAGTATCTTTGACTCACTCTTCATGAAGCTTTTATGAGTCTTAATATTAATGCTATACAGACAGTTGACTAAATATCTTAAATAATTCAACTTTTCAACTGGCCTTTTAGGTCATATTTGATTAAAGATAACTGTTTCAAAAGTGACAGATTTTTTTTCTTTTTTTGGGGGGAAGGAAATATGTATCAAAGACCTCTGATATTGAAATATTAAAGATCTGAGACATCATTCTAAGAGCATACTGTTTAAAAAAGAATGGTTCAAAATTCTCCAAAACTATGAATAGAAAATGATTATTGAAAGTACTGGTTACCTAACAACAACAACAGTTAAAAAAACCAAAACACTGCAGATAAAGCCTAGGACTATAACTGACATCCTGTCTAACAGACTATTAATGGTTATATTTTAATATTAATTTATTCTTTGAAATGCAGAGACTGGTATTTTGAAATAACTACTCAGAGGTTACTCATAATAATATTAAACAAGTATGTTTTTTGGGGGGGGTTCTTTTCAACACAATCTTTTTTTCCTTTTGGGTTGTTCATATACTTATTTTCATATATTTTGTTCTTTTCCAGCCCCAGAATTCTCAGTTTTAACAATTTCTGAATTCATTAGCCTCATTTTTTATTCCCTCCTCTCTTTATTTGACTTAGATCTCTTAGTCCACAGTTTTCACACCATATTCCATTTTTCTCTTTTTGGTCTTTTGCCTTTTTGTGTTTGTGCTGCATCTGTGTGGCGGTCCCCAGCCCTGGATCCTTGAAGAAGACCATATGCTTCTCTGCACCACAGCAGCCTAACTAGGGCACGTTCGGCTTTCAATCATCTTAAATACGTCCTCTGTAGCCCATCACTGCCCTATGTTTATGTTTATCTATTATTAGATACATATTTATTTGGAAACATTTTATATTGAACAATAGATGATAAAACATAGTACAATATTTCAGATATATTTTTTCAAAGTCTTATCAATTGTCAACACTTTGCTTGTGTTCATTCTCTCTCTCTCTCTCTCTCTTCTTGTATCTTCCTGTGTGTGTATGTGTGTGTGCTGGAAAAAAAAGAGTTAGTTTTATCCCTTACTTACATCTACAGATAATGCTAAAAATAAAAATGCTACACTGCATGACCAAAGAATTGTATTCTCAGTGAAAACTTTTATTTGGAAAAATTAAAAAAAATATAGATGCTGTCCTTTAAAAGCATAGCTCTTGTACATAGTAATTATATAAAGAAGAAACTGGTGAACAAATGAATGAAAATAAATCTAATAAGAATAACAGTATATTGGCCAGGAGCAGAGGCTCACGCCTGTAATCCCAGCACTTTGGGAGGCCGAGGTGGGTGGATCACGAGGTCAGGAGATCGAGACCATCCGGCTAATCCGGTGAAACCCCGTCTCTACTAAAAATACACAAAAATTAACCGGGCGTGGTGGCGGGCGCCTGTAGTCCCAGCTACTGGGGAGGCTGAGGCAGGAGAATGGCGTGAACCCAGGAGGTGGAGTTTGCAATGAGCAGAGATGATGGCGCCACTGCACTCCAGCCTGGGAAACAGAGCGAGACTCTGTCTCAAAAAAAAAAAAATGCTTGTGATTTTTGTACATTGATTTTGTATCCTGAGACTTTGCTGAAGTTGCTTATCAGCTTAAGGAGATTTTGGGCTGAGACAATGGGGTTTTCTAGATATACAGTCATGTCATCTGCAAACAGGGACAATTTGACTTCCTTTTTTCCTAATTGAATACCCTTTATTTCCTTCTCCTGCCTAATTGCCCTGGCCAGAACTTCCAACACTATGTTGAATAGGAGTGGTGAGAGAGGGCATCCCTGTCTTGTGCCAGTTTTCAAAGGGAATGCTTCCAGTTTTTGCCCATTCAGTATGATATTGGCTGTGGGTTTGTCATAGATAGCTCTTATTATTTTGAGATATGTCCCATCAATACCTAATTTATTGAGAGTTTTTAGCATGAAGGGTTGTTGAATTTTGTCAAAGGCCTTTTCTGCATCTATTGAGATAATCATGTGGTTTCTGTCTTTGGTTCTGTTTATATGCTGGATTACATTTATTGATTTGTGTATATTGAACCAGCCTTGCTTCCCAGGGATGAAGCCCACTTGATCATGGTGGATAAGCTTTTTGATGTGCTGCTGCAAACTAGTTCAACCATTGTGGAAGTCAGTGTGGTGATTCCTCAGGGATCTAGAACTAGAAATACCATTTGACCCAGCCATCCCATTACTGGGTATATACCCAAAGGACTATAAATCATGCTGCTATAAAGACACATGCACACGTATGTTTATTGTGGCACTATTCACAATAGCAGAGACTTGGAACCAACCCAAATGTCCAAAAATGATAGACTGTATTAAGAAAATGTGGCACATGTACACCATGGAATACTATGCAGCCATAAAAAATGATGAGTTCATGTCCTTTGTAGGGACATGGATGAAATTGGAAATCATCATTCTCAGTAAACTATCACAAGAACAAAAAACCAAACACCGCATATTCTCACTCATAGGTGGGAATTGAACAATGAGAACACATGGACACAGGAAGGGGAATATCACACTCTGGGGACTGTTGTGGGGTTGGGGGGAGCGGGGAGGGATTGCATTGGGATATACACCTAATGCTAAATGACGAGTTAGTGGGTGCAGCGCACCAGCATGGCACATGTATAGATATGTAACTAACCTGCACATTGTGCACATGTACCCTAAAACTTAAAGTATAATAATAATAATAATAAAAGAATAACAGTATATTTTGAGATAAGCATGTTACATTAGGTGAAGAGCAGAGCCTGATTTAAATTATTCTCCAACCATTTGCCTGCTCATACACTATATTGAGTTCATTAGTAAAGATAGGGTTTTAGATGCAGAGTAGTTTTTGTTGTATTATTTTATTATAAATAACTAGCCCCCCACTTGTAATTTTTGTCATGTGCATTCAATTTTGTACCTTGTTTACAATTATTAGACCTGATGGATTTGCTTGCTTTCATTATTCATTACCATAACCTCCAATTCTTTATTAAAACATTTTCACTCCCTGATCTTTAAATGCCCCCTAGACTATATTCCTTGAGATCAGGGATTTTTTTGTGTTTTGTTGATGACATAATCCTAGCTCCTAGAACAATGTTATTACATATGAATTACCCAATAAATATTTGTTTAATGAATTAATGAGTAAAATGTAAAAGCTTTTATTCTCTTGATGTCCTTGGAGAATTCCTGCCTGACTTTCAATATTTTATGAGTAAGCCTCCACTAAATCTCACCCAGAATTGGTCCTTTCTCCTGTTTCACTACCATGGTTTTTTTGTGTCCACGGTTTTGATCAATGTTACTAAATGTAGCTAGTTTTACTAAATTTTGAGGACTTTAAGGATGGATACTGTTTATTATTTGCTTTTACATTCCCAAAGTTTAGCATAGTGACAACTATATAATCAAGAGTATATATTCATGTAGTTAGTAATTAACAAACTGGTTATTGTCCTTATAATAAATTTTTGTTGTTAAATTTAAAGTAAACTACTAAAATGGGCAAAGTAAATGTCAAAAATTGGAATTTCACAAGAGATAATATTTTTAGCAAAAATACATGCATTTTGATAGTTTTGTAAATATTTTAGAAAACAACATATCTAAATTAAATTGAAATACGATAAAAATATTAGAGAAAATGTGTTTATAACAGCTTCATTACTGAAAAGATAGAATTTGGCTAGGTACTTAATTTACTAATAGGTGGCGTACTTACCAAACCTATGGTAGTCTTTTCACAATATTGTATGTAAAAAGCATAGATTTCACCAAGAACAAAAGAAGCTTGATGTAATATTTGTGTATTATATGAAATTGTTATGAAAATAGATTTTCAAAAATGTTTTGAAAATGTGTATGTATGCTATAAGAAATGATCACAAACTTGGTGATTTAAACCAACTCAGATTAATCATCTCATAGTTCTGTAGGTAAGACATCTGACATACAACTCACTTGGTTAAAAGGAAGATGCTATTGGCAGGGCTACATTCTTTTCTGGAAACTCTGGGGAAAATCCATTTTCTTGCCTGTTTCAGCTTCTAGAGACTAGCCACATTACTTCCCTATCAACCCACAATCTTCAAAGCCAACAACAATCCATTTCTATGACCATTTTTCCTTCCTTGCCTCTACATTCGACTCTGAATTCTTCTGCCACCATACTCCACTTTCAACAATGTTTGGGATTATATTGGGTCTCCTAGATGATTCAGGATTTTCTCCCTATTATATGGTCAGTTGATTAGCACACTTATTTCTGCCTGCAATGTTAATTTTCCTTTGTCATGTAACATTACAAATTAACAAGTTCTAGGAATTAGGATATGTCCATAGAGTCATTCCTCAGTATAAAGGGGGACTGCTTCCAGGACTCCTGCATATACCCAAACTTGTGCATAGTCAAGTGCTGTAGTCAACCCTGTGACACCATATATATGAAAAGTTGGCCCTCCTTATGTGCAGATCTTATATCGTCTGAATAGTGTATTTTCGATCTGCCTTTGGTTGCAAAAAATCCAGGTGTAAACGGACCCATGCAGTTCAAACCTGTGCTGTCTAAGGGTCAACTGTAGATATAACTGTATATATAAGAATGTATATGTGTATATACATACACTCACACATACATATATATGAACGTATTCAGCAAGCATTACTGGTATGCTTGATATCTTTGCTCCATATTTATATTATGTAACTAATTTTAGATGCTTTTTAAAATATAAGATTTGAATAAATTTGACATCAAAACATTTGAAAACTGTTTTCCAGTTTAAAGTTTTCTAAGTTAATTGCTTTAATAACTGCAAGTAGGTAAAATATTTCTTCTAATGGTATAATTTCTTAAATTACATATAATTAACATTTTTTGTTTCTAACTTAACAAATTCCAAGTTCTCTCTTTGGAACCATTCTATCACTTAAATTCTGAGATAAGGTAAATCCATTATCTTGAGTGCAACATATTTAGAGTTAGGCTGTGGGTTTTTTTTTTCTTTTTTAAGAACAAGAAAGGCACTTATAGTCCACCCAGTACATCACTTAGCTACAAAATAAATGCATAAAGAAATGGTTGAAATGAAATCTAGACCAAGGAAGTTTAATAACATTGTAATTTATTCAAATAACAGGACATAATGATCTGCTGACTAAAAATCTCAACACCAATATGTGAGATATGTATTTGCCATATTACTTTAAGGTTTGGAGGGAGCTGGAGTGGGTGAGTATTTTGAGAATTGCATAAAATTTAGTGGGAATATTTGGAATAAGTTGTATCTAAGTTTGGCACATGTGTGAGGGAATACATGATTTCTAAAACATTAGCTTAAAACCTTGCTTCCCTTATATAAGACAATAATTTTATTTATTTAATAAAACCATGCACATTGTAGCATTTCAGGTGAATGAAGATGGTGAAAAATAAATAAAAAATAAATGACTTCAAGAAATCTGTGTTTTATAAGAGAAAAAATAAGTCAGAGTTCAAACAGAATCTTTCATATATGTAAGAAGGCATTTGTTAGAGGGATTTGACCTTATTACATTTTGAGAAAAAAAGCAGGGAGTGAAGTTAAGATGTAGAGTTTGTATTATTTTCGTTTTTTTATTTGTTGGTTTATTCAAACAGCATTAAGTTGTTATGAGGTTAAAATAGTGGGTTTTAAGGTAGTATTTAGCAGCCTCATGGTAACCCCAAACCAAAAATCATACAATGGGTAAACAGACACAAAGCAAGAAACTAAATTATATCACCAGAGAACATCACCTTCAGTAAAGGAAGACAGAAAGAATTAAAAGAAGGCCAGAAAACAAATAACAAAATGGCAGGAGTTAGTCCTTCCTTATCAATAATAACACTGAAGTTAACTATATGAAATTCTTCAATTAAAAGACATGCAGTGGCTGAATGAATGAAAAAAACAAAACCCATTGATCTGTTCCCTACAAGAAACACTCATCACCCATATATACACACATAGCCTGAAAATAAAGGGATGGAAAAAGATTTTCTATGCCAATGGAAACTGAACAAGAACCGGAGTAGCCAAACTTATATCAGACAAAATAGATTTCGAGACAAAAACTATAAAAAGAGACAAAGAAAGTGACTATATAATGATAAAGGCATTAATTCAGCAGGAGGATATCACAATTTTAAATATATATGCACCCATCACTGGAACACCCAGATATACAAAGGAAATATTATTAGGGCTAAAGAGAGAGGCCCAATAAAATAATATCTGGAGACTTCAACACCTAACTTTCAGCATTGGACAGATCTTCCATACAGAAAATCAATAAAAAAACATAAAGCTTGGCCAGGCGTGGTGGCCCTCGCCTGTAATCCCAGCACTTTGGGAGGCCAAGGCGGGTTAATCACCTGAGGTGAGGAGTTCAAGACCAGCTTGGCCAACATGGTGAAACTCTGTTTCTACTAAAAATATAAAAACTAGACGGTCGTGGGCGCCTGTAATCCCAGCTACTTGGGAGGCTGAGGCAGGAGAATTGTTTGAACCCTGGAGACGAAGGTTGCAGTGGGCTGACACAGTGCCACTGCACTCTAGCCTCAGTGACAGAGTGAGACTCCATCTCAAAAAAATAAAAAAAGAAAAAAGAAAAGAAACATCAAGCTTAATCTGCTGTATAGACCAAACGGATCTAATAGATAAATACAGAACATTTCATCCAAGAGCTGCAGAGTACGCATTCTTTTCCTCAGCAAATGGATTATTCTCAAAGAAAAACTACATGTTAAATCACAAAACAAGTCTTAAAACCTCAAAAACACTGGAATAATATCAAGCACCTTCTCTGACTACAATGGAATAAAACTAGAGATGCATAAAAAAAGAAATTGTGGGAACTATACAAACACATGTAAATTAAACAATATGCTTCTGAAGTACCAGTGGGTCAATGAAGAAATTAAGACAGAAATTTAAAAAGTTCTTGAAACAAATGACGATGGAAATACAACATACCAAAACCTATAGGATACAGCAAAAGCCGTAGGAGGAGGGAAGATTATAGCTGTAAGTACCTACATCAAAGAAGGAGGAAACAAAAAACAATCTAATGATTCATCTTAAGGAACAAGAAAAGCAATTACTAGAAGAAAAGAAATAATAAAGTCCAGAACAGAAATAAATAAAATAGAAATGAAGAACAATATAAAAGACCAATAAACCAAAGTTGTTTTTTTGAAAAGTTAAACAAAATTGACAAACCATTAGCCAGAGTAACAAAAAAAGAGAATATCTAAATAAATAAAATCAGAAATAAAAAAGGAGACATTACAACAGATAATGCGGAAATCCAAAGGATCATTAGTGTCTACTATGAGCAATTATATGCCAATAAATTGGAAAATCCAGAAGAAATAGACACATTCCTAGACATGTACAACCTACCAAGATTGAACCCAGAATAATTCAAAAACCTGAACAGATCAATACGAAGTAATGAGACTGAAGTAGTAATAAAATTCTCTCAGTGATTAAAAGCCTGCAGCCCACTGGCTTCACTACTGAATTCCACCAAACATTTAAAGAAGAATTAATACCAATCCTACTCAAGCTATTCTGAAAAATAGAGGATGAAATACTTCCAGACTCATTCTATGAAGGCGGTATTACCCTGAAACCAAAACCAGACAAAGACACATCAAAAAAGAAAACTATAGACCAGTTTCTCTGTTTAATATTGATTATTGATGAATAAATCTTCAACAAAATACTAGCAAAATGAATTCAATAATACATTAGAACAATCATTCATCATGACCAAGTGGGATTTATCCCTGCAATAAAAGGATGATTCAACATATGCAAACCAATCAGTGTGAAACATCATGTCAATAGAAGGAAGGATAAAAACCATATGATTATTTCAGTTGATGCTGAAGAGAATTTGATGAAATTCAACATCCCTTCAAGATAAAAACCCGCAAAGTATAGAAGAAGCATGCCTCAACATTATAAAAGCCATATATGACAGACCCACAACTAGTATCACACTGAATGGGGAAAATCTGAAAAACAAACCTTTTTATCTAAGACCTGCAATGTGACAGTGATGCTCACTTTCACCACTGTTATTCAACAGAGTAGGGGAAGTCCTAACTAGAGAAATCAGACAAGAGAAACACATACAGGGAATCGAAATTGGAATGGAATAAGTCAAATTATCCTCATTTGCAGGTTGTATGATCTTATATTTGGAAAAACCTAAAGACTTTCCCAAAAAACTATTAAAGCTGATAAATTAATTAGAGTTGCAGGATACAAAATCAGCAGTATTCTATATGCCAGTAGTGAACAATCTGAAAAAGAAATCAAAAAAGTATTCCCATTTATCATAGCCTCACATAAAACTAAATACCTAGGAATTAACAAAGGAAGTGGAAGATCTCTATAATAAAAAAATTATAAAACACTGTTCAAGGAAATTAAAGAGGACACCAAAAAAATGGGAAAAGATTCCATGTTCCTGAATTGGAAAAATCAATATTGTTAAAATGTCCATACTACCTACAGCAATTTACAGATCAATACAATCTCTATCAAAATACAAATGACACTCTTCACAGAATTAGAAAGAAAATCCAAACATTTATATGAAATCACAAAAGATTCGGAATAGCCAAAGCTGTCTTCAGCAAAAAGAACTAAACTGGAGGAATCACATTACCTGACCTCAAATTATACTACCAAAACTGCTGTAACGAAAACAGCATGGTACTGGCATAAAAACAGACACATAAAGAGACATATAAATGGCAAACAGGCAAGGTGCTCAACATCATTGATCTTCAGCGAAATGCAAATCAAAATTACAATGAGATGTCATCTCACTCCAGCTAAAATGGCTTTTATCCAAAAGTCAGGCTATAACAAATGCTGGCAAGAATGTGGATAAAAGAGAATCCTCATATACTGTTGGTGGGAATGTAAATTAGTACAACCACTATGGAGGACAGTTTGGAGGTTCCTTAAAAACCTAAAAACAGAGCTGCTGTGTGATCCAGCAATCTCACTGCTGAGTATATAGCCAAAAGCAAGGAAATCAGCATATTGAGGACATATATGCACTCCTATGTTTGCTACAGCACTATTTACAGTAGATCTGGAAGCAACCTAAGTGTCCATGTACAGATGAATGAATAAAGAAAAGTTGGTACATATACAGTATGGAGTACTATTCGGCCATAAAAAATGAGATTATGTCATTTGCAACAACATGGATGGAGCTGAAGATCATTATGTTAAGTGCAATAAGCCAGGCACGAAACGACAGACATCACATGTTCTCACTTATTTGTAGGATCTAAAAATGAAAACAATTGAACCCACAGAGATAGAGAATAGAAGGATGGTTACCAGAGGCTGGGAAGAGTAGTGAAGGATCAGGGGGAAGGTGGGGATGGTTAATTGGTAGAAAAAAACTAATCACAAAGAAATACCCTACAAATCCAAACTGAAGGACTTTTTACAAAAGTTTTAGTGTCAGGGTAGACAAAGACTGAAGAACTGTTTCAGATTAAAGCACATAAAAGACACAGAAGAGACATGACAAATAAACAGAATGACTAATCCTGGGCTGATTCTTGAACAGACAAAGAACATTATTGTGACAACTGGAAAATGTTAATATACTACACTATCAATTTCCTGATTTTTGGTAACTCCACTATGGGTATGCGAGATAATGCCCTTTTATTTAAAACAAAAATAAACACAAATATAAATGGTTCCCAACTGATGATGACTCAACTTAAAAATTTTTCAGCTTTATGATGGTGCTAAAGCAATACACATTCAGTGGAAACCACACTTCAAATTTCAAACTTTTATCTTTTCTCTGGCTAAGTATATGCAGTATGATACTCTTATATGAGATATTCAAAATTTTATTATAAAATAAGCTTTGTGTTACATGATTTTGCCCAACTGTAGGCTAATGTAAGTGTACTGAGCATGTTTAAGGCAGGCTAGGCTAAGCTATGCTGTCAGGTGGATTAAGTGTATTAAATGCTTTTTTTAATTTACAAATTTTCAACTTACGATTGTTTTATTGGGATGTAACTTCATTATAAGTTGAGGAGCATCTATATATTGAGGGGTAAAGTGGCAACATGCCTTCAACTTTCTCTCAAAGCTTTCAGAAAAAAAAAACTGTGTGTATGTATGTATAGGTAGACTGGTACAGCTATAGGCATAGACTTTACTATAAATAAAAATGTATGGTAAATTGAAAGAACAAATGTCGAATGGTAATATTTGGGTAATATGAACAAAAGGTATATGAAGCTATTTTGTACTATCTTTGCAACACATTTGTAAATTTGAAATTGTTTCAAAATGAAATTATTTAAAACTAGAGATTATTATTTGAAGAGCAATAAGCCAGGCATCATAAAATCAAACAGACATATGAAAAGGTGCTTAAATCTATGACCCTAAAAAGGAGAACATTTTCTTATGAAGACATGTTTTCGAATGTGTAGGGAAGAATGGGAGCACTTAAGCAAACTTAAACAATTTCATTTAGAGCTCAAAATGATGTATATACAACTTTCTCCTGAGATATTCAAATATTAATCACGGGTATTTTAATTGTTCAGATAATTGCAATAATATTTGTTATGGCCTAACATAAGATAGAGTGTTGGTTTCCTTATGTTAATTCTTATGTCTTTCATAGAAAGGCCACACTATTATGTTAGACTTCAATTCAACATGCATTTACTGAGAACATGCTAACCATAACCAATAGCACAAAGGTCTAAATGTTGGTAAAGAATATATGGGGAGAAAAAGAACAGATGAGTACAGATACAAATAAAGACTAACACCTGGTCTGTGGGACACTCGAGAAATTGTAAGAGCTTTGATCAAAATAGACTTTATTTAAAACACATGTAAATTAATACAGTAACATGAGCAGACAACCAATCTTTGTATATTGTTTTCTTTAAGTAATTCCTTTGACACATGAGCAGAATTAGTAAGTTCCCTAGGAAGATATTCAGTAACAATGAGAGGTTCATGTCCAGATTTGTTATCCACATTTGTAATATCAACAAAGTGTTGATAAATCCTGAGATTTAGAAGAGAAAGTAAGTAGCAGTGGCAAGAATTGATGTTAAGTAAATTCACACTCATGAGGAAGAAAAGTGGGCCAGAAGTTACAGTGCCCAAAGAGAACATGCATCACTACCTTCCCTTCATTTGAAACCTATGTATATGTTAATATAACTCATCCTTCAAATTGTAGCATGAGAAATCCAGAACTTAATATTCTATCTAAATGTAGTCCTTCCTTTATTTTACCTTCCCCTCAATTTGCTTATATTCTTTATATATTAAAATTGTTTACAAAGTCATCTCCTCACTAGAATTTAAACTACTTAAGGAAGGGAAATAGTGTTTCATTGTATATCTTCAGAATCTTGTTCTCTGAAAATCATTGATGTTCAATAAAAAAACAATAAGATTACACAAATTAAGTGACATAAACTATTAGAAAGAGTTTGAAATTTAAAAATTAAAAAGTCAAAAAGAATTGAGAAAGAAGGGATAGAGTTTCAATAGAAGAATATTCTTTGAGACCGTATCGGAGGTTTAAAGTAAGTAGATGATGAAAAAAAATGATGGTATCTCAACACTAACCTTAGATTTTAGTGGTGAAGGGGAAAATAACAGTTATGTGCTAGCTGGAAAAAAGAGCAGAGATGAGCTGCAAAACTTTGGCAAAAAACATGAGGAGGACTAATCACAGCAGAAAAATTCCTCCCAGTATTGAAGATATAAACCATAGTGAAAAAACATGGCATTAGCAGAAAAGGAACACAAATTTTTCTGCTTAGAAAAAAAAAACTTCATGTTAATAGTAATGATGATAATAAACAAAAGCAATATTAATGTTTCTAACATGTTTAGATATTTTACTAAGTGTTCAGTCACTGTCTAAATGCACATTAACATCCCAGCAACACAATGTGGCAGATAGTAATATTCACGTTTTGTAGAAGAGGAAATTAAGCATAGATAAATTACAACACTTGCCCAAGATCACACAAGTGGAAAGTGGCAGATTCATATCTAGAGCCAGGACTTTCAACCACTACATCATTATATTTTACATTTTGCTATGTCCAGCCCTGTGATAGGAATTTGATATATGTTTTCTGGGAAGGCTTTCCTGATTGCCTGTTGGCAACACTTAATGAGTGCAACATATTTTTACACTCTCTGTTGTGTAGTCACAGGAAGACTTGGAGTCACATTTCCCAGAATCTTTTGGCAGACAAATTTTGCTTAGATTCTACTATTGAGGGCTTCTTGCACAAGGTTGGACAGCTGAAGAAAAAAGCCATTTTTCTTCTTCCCCAGCAAAACACAGAGAGAGGATACTGTGTAGTGTTTGTGTATTAAAGAAAGTTTAGTGTATTCGTGTATTAAAGAAACTGCCGATGTTTCTGCACGAAACCCTTGACAGTAGCTCTGACCATTGGTAGTAATTTTCTGTAGTACGTAAGGCTGTACTTGCCAAACCTAAAAGCTAGAGGTTATTTTCCTTGACCTTGCTCTTTCTGGTCTTCTTGTAGTTTGGAAGGAGCCATTAGTTTGTATTTCGTCACTTCCTGCTGGAATTTCAAAGGAGTTTCTGTTTCCCAATCCTAATACTGATACTGATTCTATATAATAGTTTAATAGGGACCAATTTATGACTTTTCTCTAACTCACAAGCCTGCAGGTCATATATAGGCCTGATGTAATAAAATTTTACTTTAGAGAATTCAAACATCAGGATCAACCTTGCACCCATGAAATGACGGTAGTAACTACATACTGACATCTTTATAGACTAGTAAGAATTAAATGATAATGTGTGTCACTTACACACAGATAAAGGTAACTTGAACATTCCACTGGGTTAATGTATAGAAGAGTTACCATACTGGCAGTTTTTACTTTAGGACTCTAAATTCTTCTAGCTGATTTTATTTGAGCAGCCAATAAAAAAATCACCAAGAGAGAATGAGAGAAACATGTTTTACATTTAAAGTTAAGAGAGATAATTCTTTTTTATAGAAATGAGGCAGTATTATTCTGTTTCATACATTGTGCTCATAACTTTTGATTTTATCTGCCAAAAATATTTTGCTGTTATCTATGCAAATATATCTAAAATGATAGTCATGATGCTGTGTATGTATTTCTTTTAAGTAAAATGTAGTAGTAAATTTGATAAAGAAGTAAAAATTTAAATTTAATGTCTGCAAAGTTCTTTGGATGATCTTTCTCCTATGTATTTTAACGTGAAAGTGTGCAACAGAAAAATATTAATGGGGAAATGCTAACAGGAATGCTTGCATAAAGCACATACCTAAGAAGATTATTTTCAAACCCACATATTAAAGCTTTGGGGCCTTTTTATGATCTTTATTCTGCACATGACTGAGTAAAGCTTTAAGACTTAAATTCCCTTAGGTGCTTTATTGGTTAGGGACCAATTTATTTGGCAACTTGGTTGTACAGTGGCGGTGTGGGTATTCTCAGTGCATATCTGCAGATGTAGAGCTCCAACAAACTAGGAATATGTGCTGTAAACTAGAACAGTTTAACAGAGCATTTAATGATTATTTGGTCGAAAATGTCTGTAAAGGGAACAAGAAATTCACACACCAGGCCTGCAATGTTCTTTCTCCTAATCTTTTAAATGAAGCGATTAAAGGTTCATTTGCCTTTTAGGTCTGCAATTTTACATTTTGAGGTTTTGTATACTGACTTTCACATGACTGACTCTAACTTAAAAAATGGATGAATTTTAAGTGCATTTTAAAGAAAAATATATCAAATATAAATATTATAGATGATTGTTATATTAGCTAGAAAAGCAGACTACAGACATGTAAACTGAGGTATTACTTAATAATTAAAAATATATATTGTTTAGCCAGTCACAAGAGGGTAGATACTACATGGTTACACACACACACACACACACACACACACACACATACATATATATATATGTGTGTGTGATTTAGATATAAGGTATCTAAAGTAGTCATTCTCAAATAAGCAAAGAATAGAACAAAAGCATCATCAGAATGCCGTAAACTTAACTATCACTTCCAAAAGTTTCCTTCTATCCCCTTTGTGTTTTTTGCTTTGTTCTGTCTTTCTATGTTAACAGCAGTTCACATAAGATGTGCTCATTTAGCAAATTTTAACTATACTGTACAGTATTGTGAATTATAGGCCCTATGATTTACAAGAGATCCCCAGAACTTATTTTTCTTGCATAACAAATTTTGTATACACTTTGACTCACACCTGACCATTTGCCCCTTCCCTGCGCCTGTCGACTAACTACCATTCTACTCATTGTTCTATGTATTTGACCATTTTAGTAAGATCATGCAATATTTGTCTTTCAATGTCTGGCTTATTTCACATAACATAATATCCTTCAGATCTGTCCATGTTGTTGAAACTGACTCAATAGTCCCAGAGATAGTTTTTTTTGGACAAACATAGAAATTGACCCTTCTGGTCTTACAGCTTGAGTGTTATCTTTGTTTTATCTGAGTTCCTTCCTCAGGAAATGACCTTCAGACCTCTCAAAAAAAAGTATCAAAGAACTGAAACTCATCAGATCACCACATCCAGACAATGAGATGTTGGACTCCTCATTTATCATGATTGCTTCCTCGCCCCTCCCTAGTTCCTGTTTTCTTACATATCGTTACATTTCTTCCCCTGTTGTATAAACCCCTAGTATTAGTCAAACAGGGATATGGATTTGAGACTGAGCTCCCATCTACTGGGATACAGAACCCAATTAAAGTCTTCATCCTTGGCATTACTTCTTGTCTCAGTGACTGGCTTTCTGTATAGCAAGCAGCAGCACCTGGACTGAACCCCTGGTGTTTTGGTAACATTGTCACAAATAGAATTTCTTCTTTTAAAGGTCAAATGCCATTACATTGCATATATATACATAGACCCCCACCCCATTTTCTTTAATCTGTCAGTGGGCATTTAGGCATTTAGGTTGTTTGCATATCTTGGCTATTATGAATAATGTTGTGCTAAATAAGGGAGTGCAGAAGTCTCTTCAAGATCTTGATTTCAATTCCTTGGAATATATGTCCATAAGTAAAACTGCTAAATCAAATGGTAGTTCTATTTTAATTTTTGAGAGATTTCCATATTATTTTACATGAAGGCTTCACGAATTTATATTCCCACAATCAGTATAAGGCTTCCCTTTTTCCACATACTCAATGACACTTATTTCTTGTCTTTTCAATATCAGCTATTCTAAAAGGCATAAAGTGATATCTCATTGTGGTTTTGATTTTCATTTCCGTAATGATTAGGGCTGTTGAGCATCGTTTCATATACCTGTTGGCCATTTGCATGTCTTTCTTGGAAATATGTCTATTTAGGTATTTTGTCCATTTTTTAATGGTTTTTTTTTTGGCAATTGAATTACAGGAATCTGTTATATATTTTGGACATTAATCCTTTATCAGATATATAATTTGTAAACATTTCCTCCCATTCCTTAGGTTGCCGTTTCATTTTTTTTTATTGTTTTCTGTGCAAAAGCTTTTTAGTTTGATGTAGTCCCACTAGTCTATTTTGCTTTTGTTGTCCATGCTTTTGGTATCATATCTAAGGAATTATTGTTCAGTCCAATATATAGAATTTTTCTCTGTATTTTCTCCAAGAGTTTTATTGTTTCCAGTTTTATGTTTAATTATTTAAACCATTTGGATTTTATTTTTGTATATGGTGTAATATAAAGATACAATTTCATTTTTGTATTAGGATATAAAAATTTCCCATCATCATTTATTGAAGAGAATATGTTTTCCCCTTGTGTGTTTTTAGCACCCTGTTTGAAGACAAATTGACTGTTTATTCCTGGATTTATTTCTGGGTTCCCTAATCTGTCCAATTGGTCTATATGTCTGTGTTTATGCCAGTATGTTTGATTTTTATTACTGTGGCTTTGTAATATGTTTCAAAATTAGAGTGTGATTTTTCCAGCTTTGTTCTTTTTTCTCAAAGGTCTTTTATCCAGATTAAAACATAAACCCTCAAAACTCACCATAAAAGAAGAAGCAACCTATTTTTAATGGGTAAAAGATTTGAACAGACACATTACCAAAGATACACAGCAAATAAGCATATACAAAGATGCTCAACATCATTAGTCATTGAGAAAATTCAATTTAAATAACAATAAGAAACCACTGCACACCTATTAGAATAATTAAAGACTGACCATACTGTGATGGCAAGGGTATGAAGGAACTGGAACACTCATACGCTGATGGTAGGAATGTAAAATGTGCAAACACTTTGGCAAAATGTTTTAGTTCCTTAAAAAGTTAAACATACACATACCATATATTTCAGCCATTCCACTTCTAAGTATTTACCCAAAAGAAAAAATGTCTTTTTATACAAAGACTTATACATGCATATTCGTGAAAACTCTGTTTATAACAGCCAAAGAGTAGGAACAACTCAAATGCCCATCAATAGGTGACGGATAAACAAACTGTGGTATAGCCATACAATGGAATACTATTGTACAGAGAAACAAAAATAAACCCTTGATGTATGTCACAATACAGATGAATCTCAAATTAAATATATTGAGTCAAAGAAGCCAGCAAAAAAAGGATATATACTGTATAATTCCATTTACATAAAACTCTAGAAAACTAATTTACAATGAAAGCATATCAATGGTTCTTGGGAATGGAGGGAAGGGCAGGAAGCAGTATTACAAAAGAGTAATAGGACACTTTTTGGGGAGAGGGATATGTTCACGATCTTGATTACGGTGATATTTTAATGGGTGTATAGACATATCAAAATTTTTCAAACTGCACACTTTAAATATGTGCAGTTTATTGTGTATCAATTATAACTCAATAATTTTTTCTTTCAGAAACAAATTACTTTGTTTCCTTGAAGTCTTTTGTGGTTCTAAATACATTTTAAGATTTTTTAAAAATTTCTGTAAAAACATGCCACTGGAATTTTGATAGGTTTTATACTGAATCTATACATCGCTTTGGAAAGTATAAACATTTTAACGGTATTAATTTTTCTAATCCATGAACATGAAATATTTTCCGTTTGTGTTTTTAAAAATTTCTTTCATTACTGTTTTATAGTTTTCAGTTTATAAGTTGTTTACCTCCTTAGTTAAGTTTGTATCAAATTATTTTTAACACGATTGTAAATAGAATTATTTTTTTAATTTCCTTTTTGGAGAGATCATTGTGTGTTTGTTTGTTCCACATCCATTATAGAGCAGAATTCCCACTGCTTTATTGACTGGCAGAAAACAATTCCCTGGACAGGAACCCAGTTCTCCTAAGGAGAACTCAGTAAGACTTTAACAACTGACAAATTTATAGCCACAAGTTTTTCAATTTCAAAGATCTATCTTCTCTGCATATGTATCATAGGGCAAATACTGAGTGAATTCTGAAGAAAAAAGGGAAGTTGAAAAGTTATTTATACCATCTCCCTCCTTTTTATCATAAATGTTCCCAAAATGTCTGAGTTAAAAGTACCAGAAATATAAAAACATGAGAAAATGTTCCAAAAACTACAGCAGGTTATATTGCAGAAATTTACAAGCTGATTCTCTACATTTTCTTAAGGCAAAGGGCTTATAAAAGCCAGAACAATTTTGAAAGGTTAGAACAAAGTTGTAAGATTTGTACCACCCAATTTCACAATGACTATAAATTCACCAAAACAAGAGAGGGTGGTACTGGCATAAGGACAGAAACGTAGATCACTGGAGTCCAGAAATAAACCTTTACATTAATGCCCAATTGATTTTTGACAAAGGTGCCAAGACATTTCAACAAACAGTGGTGGAATAATTGTATAGGCATATGGGAAAAAAAAGAACAAAGACCCTATAACATATCATACACAAAAATTAACTCAAAATGGCTTAAACATCTTACTGTTAAATCTAAAACTATAAAACATCTACAATAAAACATAAGACAAAATTGTAGTGACTCTAGGTTGGGCAAAAATTTCTGATACAACACCAAAAGCAAGATCCATAACAGAAAAAAAAAAAACTGTACTTCGTTGAAATGGAAAACATTTGCATGTCAAAAGATAGCACTAAGAAAATGAAACTATGAGCTACTAACTGGAAAAAATAATTGTAGATCATATTTCTCATAAATGAATTGCATCCAGAATAAAGAACTCCTATAATTCAATAATAAGAAAACAATTCAATTTTTATTTGGAGAAAATATTTGAACAGACATTTCACTAGATATATGAATGATTAATGGACACATAAAAATATACTTCACATTCTTATTCATTAAAGAAATGCAAATGAAACTCCAACCAGAACCACTATATAGACTGAAACTGCCATTATAAAAAAAATAGACAATAACAAGTATTGGCAAGGATATGGAGAAACTTCAACCCTCCTACATTGCTGGTGGAAAGTAAAATGGGGCAGCCACTTTGGAAAACAGTTTGGCAATTTCTTAAAAGGTTAAATGTCAATTTACTGTACAACCAGCAATTTAACTCCTAGGATTTATTCAATAGAAATGAAAATATGTGTCTACACAAACACATGTACATGAATGTTCATAGCAACAATATTCATAATAACCAAAAACAGGTGAATGGATAAACGCAATGTATCATATCCATACAACTGAATGCTATTCTGCAATAAAAATTAGGCTGAATGCAGTGGCTCATACCTATAATCTCTAGGAGGCTGAGGCAGGAGGATTGCTTGATCCCTGGAGTTCAATTCCAGCCTGGGCAACATAGAGAGATATCATCTCTACAAAATTTTAAAATTAGCCAGGTGTGGTGGCTAGCCTATAGTTGCAGCTATTTGGGAGGCTGAAGTGGGAGGATGACTTGAACTCAGGAGGTCAAAGCTGCAGTGAGCCCTGATTGTACCACTGCATTCCAGCCTGGGTGACAGAGTGAGACCCTGTCTCAAAAAGAAAAAAAAAAAAAAAAGAACAAACTATTGATCCAGGCTACAACTTGGATGATCCTCAAAAACATACACAAAGTAAATGAAGCCAAACACAAAAGGCCACACATTGTACAGCTCCACTTATCTAAAATGTCCAAAAAAGACACATTTTTTAAAGACTAAAAGCACATTGGTGGTTACCTGGGGTTGAATGTGGTTGCGAATGAACAGTTAAGTTACACGTAGAGGATGGAAATGTTCCCAAATTGGATTGTGGTGAGGGTTTCACACGTTTAAACAAACACTCAGAAAAATAATTAAATTGTACATTTAAGATGCTTGGGTATTATGGTGTATAAATTATATCAGTAAAATTGCTTAATAAAAATTAAGGTCTAAAATCTCAATACATAGTACATCTCAAATGTTATATCTCAAATATTATATTAAATATAAATGTGTTTCAAAAATAATAGAAGAGAATACTTCTAATATATTAACAGAGGTTGCCTCTCTTTCATGAACTTATGTTTTCATTAACTTTTGTTTTCTTGATTATATTCATCTGTATTTTTCAAGTATTCAATAATATATTGCTTTTGCAATCAGAGAAACCAAAGCTTGCTCTCTTTCTCTCTCCTTCCTTCCTTCCTTCCTCCCTCCCTCTTTTCTTTCCTTCCTTCCTTCCCTCCTTCCTTCCCTCCCTCTTTCCCTCCTTCCCTTCCCCTCCTTCCCTCCCTCCCTCTCTCTCTTTCTTTCTTTCTTTCCCTTTATTTCTTTCTTTCTCTCAGTAAAAGTAAGATCAGCAAATAGGAATGTTCCCACTTTCTCTAAACACGTGCTAGCATCTCCTAATACTCAATTGTCAGTCCTACATGTATATCTGAGTAATACCAGTTCCCCAAAATGTTTTAAGAATAGATCAGGGCCGGGTGCGGTGGCTCACGCCTGTAATCCCAGCACTTTTGGGAGGCCGAGGCGGGCGGATCACGAGGTCAGGAGATCACGACCATCCTGGCTAACACAGTGAAACCCAGTCTCTAATAAACACAAAAAATTAGCCGGGCGTGGTGGTGGGCGCCTGTAGTCTCAGGTACTCAGGAGGCTGAGGCAGGAGAATGGCGTGAACCCGGGAGGCGGAGCTTGCAGTGAGCCGAGATAGTGCCACTGCACTCCAGCCTGGGTGACAGAGCGACACTCCGTCTAAGAAAAAAAAAAAAGAATAGATCATTTTAATGTACACAAATTAAACTAATTTTTTAAGTTGATTTTGATTTTGTGTCTTTTGACTTTACTGATTTTGCTTATTAATTCTAATGTTTTGTGAAATCTAATTTTCTACATATAAAATTACATGATTTGTAGAAATAGATTTACCCTTCCTTTTCTATTTGGATTAAAAAAAAATTTTTTTAGCCTAATTTTCCTAGATAGGACTTCCAGTATGCAAAATAACAGAGGTTAGAGTAGGCATCCTTGCCTTGTTCTGGAACTTCGAAAGAAAGCTTTCAGCTTTTCACTATTGTGGATGATGTTGCTGTGAACTTCTTATAAATGGACTTTATCGTGTTAAGTTTCTTCTATATTTAATTTTTGAAAGTTTTTGTCATGAAAAAGTGTTGAGTTTTATAAAATTACTTTCCCACATCTTTTGAGATAATTATGTGATTTTTATCCTTCTTTCTGTTAATGCGGTGTATCGCATTGGTTGGTGTACAAATTTGTGTATGTAGAATCTATCCTTGCATTCCGGATTAAATCCTGCTTAGCCATTGTGTATGATTCTTTTAATGTGATGTATTCAGTTTGCTAGTTTTTTACTGAGTAGTTTTGCATCTATGTTCATCAGGGATATTGGCCTGCAGTTTTCTTTTCTTATGGCATCTTTGTCTGGCTTTAGTAACAGGGTGGCTTCATAGAGCGAGTTCAGAAGTGTTCCCTCTTTTCTTTTTTAAAAAACTTTAAGGATTGGTATTATTTTTTCTGTAATGTTTGGTAAAATTTACTCATGGAGTCATCTGGCCCTGGGCTGTTCTTTCTTGGGAGATTTTTTATTACTCCTTTAATTTTTTTATTTTTTATTGGTCTGTTCATACTTTCTATTTCTTCTTGATCTCCTTATTTTATGAAAACGTTTAACAATTTCGTAACCTGTATGTGCATATTTTAACTACATCTGACAGTTTCAACTCTAACTCCTCTCATAATTTTCATGCTGCCATAATCAACTGCAAAAGAGTCATTCATTTCACTATCTCTCTCTGCTTTTGGTTGAAAACATTTATGCATTTTAAACTGAACATCACCATTTTTAAAGTAGCTTCATATGGGATGCCTTTTCCCTTTAAAAATATGACAAAATTCTTTATAAAATTTTGTAATATTTTCATAAAGATTTTACACTAGCATGTATTTTGTAATTTCAAGTCCTCTGATGATATCTTTAAGCCCAGATATTTCATCAGAGTTTATCTTTTTCATCCTAGGGTTCTTTGTTGCTTTCATTATTCGCTTACAAACTGTCACTCTAAGAATTTTGTTCATTTCTTTTAAGACTGTTAGAAATTTATCTTCAATTTGTTGTCAGCTGGCAGTTTCTACATTCTGTCTGGAAATTTCCTTAGCTAGACCAATGAATTCATTAGGCACATTTCCCATTTGTCACATTGTTGCAGGAAACAGTGCTGCCAGACAATCCACCTGCTTTCTTTTATGCCTTCAGCATAACCCCAAACTTAGTGGATTGAAATAAAAATAATTATTTTATTTATATCCGTGACTTTTCCAGATCAGGAAGGGGTTCAGATGAGCCGATCTTATTTAAGATCTCTCAGGCGGTCACAGTCAGATAACGGCTGCATATGAAACAGCAGGGAACCAGAGTAGCTGGGTATTGGTCAGGAATCTCTTTTC
Source organism: Homo sapiens (assembly GCF_000001405.40). Classification (NCBI taxonomy): domain Eukaryota; kingdom Metazoa; phylum Chordata; class Mammalia; order Primates; family Hominidae; genus Homo; species Homo sapiens. Next base: position 57,176,719 of record NC_000010.11, on the reverse strand, counting down.
ATGTAGACTCGAGTCCTTTCCAAATGTTCTCTCCACATGCACTAGTTTGGGCTTCTTCACGGCATGGAAGCCTCTGAGAAGTTGTACAGATCACATGATAGCTGGTTTCTCTCAGGGCCAATGTTCAAAGAGAAGCAGGCTGTGTAGCTGCATACCAGCTACAGAAGTCACATAGTGTCACTTATTTCATACTTTATTGGTTGAGGCAGTCACAAAATCCACCTGACTCTGGGGTTATGAGATATAAAGTTAATACTCACTGGAACAAATACAGAAGTCTCATTATAAGAACATACAGAATGGAATATATTTTAAAAGAAGACATCTTAGGAAAATTCCTTCTGCCTTTAAGGCCTTTAGCTAAAATGTAGGAATGGTTTTATTTAATATGCTCTTAAAACTACACACTATTTAATAGCTATACCGAGGTTCTCCCATTATGTTAATTAAAATTAAAATTTAAGGTGTTATAAAATTACCAAGTGTTATGGACTAAATTGTGTCTTCCTATAATTCAGATGCTGAAGCTCTAACTTCAGATGTAACTGTGTTTGGAGACAGGGCCTTCAAAGAGGTGATTAAGGTTAAATAAAGTCATAAGGGTGGGGCTCCACACCCATAGGGCTGGTGTCCTTATAAGGAGAGGAAGAGACAGCATAGAGCTCTCTCCTTCTAGGCTCACACAGGGGAAAGGCCAAAATAAATTTCTGTTTAAGCTCCCTACTCCATGGTATGCTGTGATGGCAGCCTAAGCTGGCTAACACAATAAACAAAATACATGCTTGTTCTTTAGTTTAAAAGATAGAAAATATGCTTTTCACATTCGCTCTTTTGGAGTGCACAATGCAATTTACCAAGTAAAACTATCTGAAATCCTGAAGTAAAAGGATAGGCTCAAATACATTTAACTGTTTAATTCTGTGATTTCAAAACCCATCTGTCTGTGCACTAAGATCCTTCATCCTTTCTTGTTACATCTATTGAATGTTGTATAGTAATTTGTTTTTCTGCAGTGTGATGTTTTAGGTAAAACTGAATATTGTTCATTTGTATCGGCTTTTCTACTTAAGGAAAACATATGGTCTATTTCTGACACACATTTTTCTTAATTAATAGGCTGATGGTATATATATAGATATATATGTGTGTATATATATAGGCTCTTATATACAACATATATATAGCTTTATATATATATGTATATATATATAGCATGAGCCTATATATATAGCATCAACTGAAATATGATTTCTAGAAATGTTGCAGGTATATAATGATAAATGTGATGTAGAAAAGCCAAGTGCCAATAACAATCAGATAAAAAAAAAGAAAAAATCATTGATTTATAATATTATCATAGAATCACCATGCCTGCTATTTTAGTCCCTTTGGGCTACTTTAATAAAACACTTTAGACTGGGTAATTTATAAACTTCTCAGAGTTCTGGGGGCTGGGAAGTCCAAGATCAGGGCACTAGATTCAATGTCTGGTGAGTTCATGCTCCCTGCTTGATAGATGGTACTCTCCAGTTGCATCCTCATGTGGCAGAAGAGGGAAATAAGCTCCTTTGGGCCTCTTTTATAATGGTGCCAATCCCAATTAAAAAGTTGAAGACCTCATGACCAAATTACCTCCCCAACGTCCTACCTCTTAACACCACCAGACTTAGGACTAGGTTTTAACATATGAATTTTGGGGATCCGCCAATATTTAGGCAACAGCACCTGCCATATTTCTCTATATCTTAAGCAAAATCAATAAACTTCTTACTTTTTTCAGTTATTGTTTGGTGAATATTTGTTGCTCATAGCTTAACATGTTCTGGCTGATGCAGAATTAGTACTTGTAAGTAGAATACTACAAGTAACATAATTTAAAACGTAGCATTGCTATAGTTGATAGGGATAGTCGGCAAAGACATATATATTGTCATCTTATAGATGTCATCATATATATTGTCATCTAGAATGCTGATGGTCCTTGTCATATACTAGAAAAAAATTGAGGCAAAATTTTATACTTGGTTTCTCATGACAAACTACATGCTGACCAAGTGTTGGAAGAATAAGAAAAATTCAGAACATTGACATGTTCTTATAACTTTTGCTAATTTTGACCAATAATAGTGATGATATCAGATCAGCACTATCCACTTCACTATCAGAGAGAGAAGAAAGTTTCGTTAGTTAGAGGAAGAGAGATCTAATGCACTTGATAATGACATATGATATCATTTAATAGAGATTTACATAATTTACAGGTTGCATGATTAAAAAAATGATTATTTCTGTATATTAAACAATAAGATCTAGGCCTATCCAGGTCACCTTCCAAAATGCTGCCTGTAATCCCCACATTTTGGAAGGCCAAGATGGGATGATTGCTTGAAGCCTGGAGTTCAAGGCCAGCAGCCTGGGCAACAAAGCAAGACCTTGCCTCTGCAAAAAAAAAAAAAAAAAAAATTAGCCAGGTGCAGTGGCATGCACCAATAGTACCACCTATTGAGGAGGCTGAGATGGGAGGATCCTTTAAGCTCAGGAGGTTGAGGCTGCAGTGAGATATGATCAAGGCTCTGCACTCCAGCCTGGGTGATGGAGTGAAACCCTGTCAAAACAAAAAATCTATACAAAGGTGTTGTATGGGGAAGTCTTATCAGGTTTTTAGACTGTGGCAGGAGAACTCTGTTACAAAATATTCTACTGAGACTTATCTAATAAATAACAGCACACTCCAGCAAAGATGAAATTACAGTGCCCGAATTTCCTTAAGGCAGTGGCCATTTCCCAAATAGGATAATGGCTAGAATACAACCACCATAAGATAAAACAAATATCAAATCTGACCACTTTATCTAAACAAAAACTGTGGAAGGAACATAAATTATTCACACACAAAAAATGTGTTGAGGACTCCTTAGGATGACAACAATATCTTGTGATTGTTCAAGAAAGTTCAATCTTCAATGCTAAGAGAATCCTAACTTGGTGATATTTCCAATAGAAAATGTAACTGTCCCAAACTGCCTTTTATTTAAAACAGACCGCATGATATGAGTCTAGCCAAAGAGGTATAACATGGAGCTGTTGTCTGGATGTCTGGTAAATGTTTTTAAGAAGGCAGATACTGCTACATTTTTTTTTTTTTTTTACTCTCTGCCTACTTGCCTTTTAGCTCCTTCTCCACAGAACACAGGTTTGAAAACTGGGGAAACAGCAGCCCTCTCATAGACGTGAGGGAAAGAGCCACACAGCAAAATGGCATAATGTAAAGGCACAGCAGCCTGGATTTCTGAGGGAATTGTTCAATCACCCTATTTTCTCTGGACTACACAACTCTTAACTTTATGCTAAATGAGAAAGATAAATGTTACTTGAGTAAGTCAATATTTGTTTGGCTTCTGATTGTTGACAGATAAACAAATTCTTCACTAATACATTAAGCAATCTAGATAAGTCATTCACCCTTTGAATAGCAGTTTCAGGTGTCCATTCAAGCAGTGTTTCTTGAGTGGACTCCCATTGACAACACTATGTTAAGAGCCGACAGTATAATGTTGAGCAAGACTCAGGGTCTGTATTAATTGGTAGCTGCAGTTAGTACAGTTTGAAAAGTTTCACTCTGCAATAGAAAGTGGTTGAACACAAAGGGCTGCTCTTTATTATTACACAGAGAAGAAGTTAAGTAGGAATAGAGCACTGACGATTTGGCCAGAAAATTGGGCAGGGATAAGATCATAGGACTTATGTATCTTGCTAAATTATATAAGCAATATTTTTTCTTGTAATATGGGAAAACAAATTAAAAATTCTTAAATCATTTGTATATTTTCAAATATTTATAGGTTAAATGGTTTGAGTCAAATACAAACATTTCTACTCTGCAATTCCTCATCTCAATCTACAAGCCATGTATTATTATTGGACATTCTTCTCATGTATTCCTTGAGGATCTTGTACAATTTGTCTGTTAGTTAATTTGTTTGTTTTGATAACTTTATTTTCATGACCATGAAGATAAGGATTTGGCATAACTTCTAAATCTGGTATCATAGGCCGACCTAGATTTATGACAGGTGTTTTTCTAAGTCAATTTATTAGCAATGTCCTTGTGAATAATTTAGTATAGTTATAGCCAAGATTGGTTTCTGTCATATATGCACTAACTCTTAAGAAATTTGCACTTACAATTTCTAGTTCCATTTCAAATATTACCCATTGCTCACTTTCAATACTATAACAATATGTATACCTGAGATTTTTAAAACTCATTCTTAGGGAAATTACTAAATGGAATTTTGAGCTGCTTCAAGTTAGATGCTGTTCACTTTGGATACATCGATTTATTTATTTATTTAAAAAACATTCTTAAACTAACAATATTCACCACTATAGTAACTAAAACATTGTAAGAGATACACATATCTCCTGAATTTCAACATTTTCACTTTTTTAAGGTTTTAATTTTTTTTTTTTACTCTCTGCCTACTTGCCTTTTAGCTCCTTCTCCACAGAACACAGGTTTGAAAACTGAGGAAACAGCAGCCCTCTCGTAGACGTGAGGGAAAGAGCCACACAGCAAAATGGCATAAACATTTTTAACTTCTATTTTAGTTTCAAGGGTATATGTGCAGGTTTCTTATAAAGGTGAATTGCATGTCACAGGGGTTTGGTGTGCAGAGTATGTCATTGCACAAGTAAACATAGTAACTGATGGGTAGTTTTTCCATCCTATACCTCCTTTTACCTTCCACCTGCAGGTAGGTCCTGGTGTCTGATGTTCTCCTCTGTGTGTCCATGTGTTCTCAAAGTTTAGCTCCCACTTATAAGTCAAAACATATGATATTTGGTTTTCTGTCACTGTGTTAGTTTCCTTAGGGTAACGGCCTTCAGCTCTATTTATGCCTTTTTTTTTGAGATGGAGTCTCCCTCTGTCGCCCAGGCTGGAGTGCAGTGGCACGATCTCACCTCACTGCAACCTCCACCTCCCAGGTTCAAGCAATTCTTCTGCCTCAGCCTCCTAAGTAGCTGTGACTACAGGCACACACCATCATGCCCACCTAATTTTTGTATTTTTAGTAGATACAGGGTTTCACCATGTTGGCCAGGCTGGTCTTGAACTCCTGACCTCAGGTGATCCTCCCGACTCAGCCTCCCAAAGTGCTGGGATTACAAGGGTGAACCACAACACCCAGCCTCTATCCATGTTGCTGTAAAGAACATGATTCCTTTCTTTTTCTTTTTTTTCTTCTTCTTTTTTTTTTTTTTTTTTTGCCTCAGCCTCCCGAGTAGCTGGGACTACAGGCGCACACCACCAAGCCCAGCTAATTTTGTATTTTTTTTAGTAGTGATAGGGTTTCACCATGTTGGCCAGGATGGTCTCAATCTCTTGACCTCATGATCCAGCTGCCTCGGCCTCCCAAAGTGCTAGGATTACAGGCATGAGCCAACGTGCCCAGCTGATTCCTTTCTTTTTAATGGCTGTGTAGTATTACTTTGTGTATATACATATATATATGGTGTATATATATACACATATATACATATATATACATATATACATATGTGTATATATACATATGTACATATACATATGTGTGTGTATATACATATGTGTGTATATATATATACATATATATACACCACATTTTCTTTATCCAGTCTACTGTTTAGGCTGATTCCATGTTTTTGTATTGTGAATAGTGTTTCAATGAACATACACAACCATGTGTCTTTATGGTAGAATGATTTATATTCCTTTGGGCACATACACAATAATAAGATTGCTGGGTGAAATGGTAATTCTCTTTTAAGTTCTTTGAGAAATTGCCACACTGCTTCCCACAATGACTAAACTAATTTACATTACCACCACCTGTATATAAGCATTCCTTTTTCTCCACAGTCTCACCAGCATGTCATTTTTGACTTTTTATAACTATTCTGACTGGTGTGAGATGTTATCTCATTGTGTTTTGATTTTCTTTTCTCTAATGATTAGTGATGTAGAGCATTTTTTTTCATATGCTTCTTGGCCACGTGAATGTTTTCTTGTGAAAAATGTCTGTTCATTTACTTTGACCACTGGGCAACAAGCTAATAAGGTTTTTTGTTTGTTTGTTTGTTTGTTTGTTTGTTTTTTGAGATGGAGTTTCGCTGTTGTTGCCCAGGCTGTAGTACAATGGTGTGATCTCAGCTCACTGCAACCTCTGCCTCCCGGATTCAAGCGATTCTCCTGCCTCAGCCTCCATAGTAGCTGGAATTACAGTCATGTGCCACCACGCCCGGCTAATTTTGTATTTTTAGTAGAGATAGGGTTTCTCCATGTTGATCATGCTGGTCTCGAACTCCTGACCTCAGGTGATCCACCCACTTTGGCCTCTCAGAGTGCTGGGATTATAGGCGTGAGCCACTGCGCCTGGCTGGCTGTTTTTTGCTTGTAAATATGTTTAAGTTCCTTATAGATTCTGGATATTAAGGCTTTGTCAGATGTGTAGTTTGCAAATATTTTCTCCTATTCTGTAGGTTGTCTGTTTACTCTTAATAGTTTCTTTTTCTGTGCAGAACCCCTTTAGTTTTATTAAATTCGGTTGCTCAATTTTTGTTTTTGTTGTATTGCTTTTAGCATCTTCATTATGAAATCTTTTCCAGGGCCTATGTCCAGACTGGTATTTCCTAGGTTATATTCCAGGACTTTTATAGATTAAAGTTTTACATTTAAGTCTTTAATCCATCTTGAATTGGTTTTTGTATATAATACAAGGAAGGGGTACAGTTTTAATCTTCTGCATATGACTATCCAGTTATCCCAGCACCATTTATTGACTAGGGAGTTCTTTCCTCATTGCTTGTTTTTGTCAACTTTATCAAAGGACAGATGGTTGTACATATGTGGCATTATGTCTGGGCTATCTATTCTGTGCCATTGGTCTGTGTGTCTGTTTTTGTACCAGTCTCAGGTTGTTCTGTTTGCTGTAGCCTTGTAATATAGTTTGAAGTTGGGTAATATGGTGACTATGGCTTTTTTATTCTTCTTAAGATTGCCTTGGCTATTTGTGTTCTTTTTGGGTTCCATTTGAACTTTATAATATTTTTTTTCTAATTCTGTGAAGAATTTCGTGGTAGTTTAACAGGAATAGCACTTGTTTTTCCATTTGTTTGTATCATCTCTGACTTCTTTCAGTGGTGTTTTGGAATTGTAGAAATCTTTTGACTCTCTGGTTAGCTATAATTTTAGGTATTTTATTCTTTTATGGCTATTGTAAATAAGATAGCATTTCTGATTTGGCTCTCAGCTTGGATGTTGTTGGCATATAACATTTCAACTAATTTTTGTACACTGATTTTATATCCTGAATCTATGCTGAAATTGCTTATCACACTTAGGAGCTTTTGAGCAGAGACTATGAGGTTTTCTACCTATAGAATCATATCATCTGCAAACAGAGATAGTTTGACCTTCTCGCTTCCTATTTAGATGCCTTTTATTTATTTATCTTGCTTGATTACTCTGGCTAGGACATACAGTACTATGTTGAATAGAAGTGGTTAGAATGGGCATCTTTGTCTTATTTCAGGTCTCAAGGGGAATGCTTCCAGTTTTTGCCTGTTCAGTATAATGTGGGTTTGTCATAGATGGCTGTTAGTTTTTTAAAGTATGTTCCTTCAACGCCTAGTTTGTTGAGGATTATTAACTTGAAGCGATGTTGAATTATATCAAAAGCCTTTTCTGTATCTATTGAAATGATAATGTGCTTTTTGTCGTTAGTTCTGTTTAAGTAATGAATCACATTTAATGACTTCCACATGTTGAAACAACCTTACATCACAGGAATAAAGCCTACTTGATTATGGTGGATTAGCTTTTTGATGTGCTGCTGGATTTAGTTTGCTAGTATTTTCTTGAAGATTTTTGCATCTATGTTCATCAAGGATATTGGCCTGACATTTTTATTTTTTCTGGTATATCTGCCAAGTTTTGGTATCAGGATGATGCTGACCTCATAGAATGAGTTAGGAAGAAATTCTTCCTCCTCAATTTTTTGTAATCGTTTCAACAGAAATGTCACTAGCTCTTCTTTACACATCTGGTAAAATTTGGCTGTGAATCTGTCTGGGCTAGTGCTTTATCTGGTTGGTAGGCTTTTTATTACTGATTCAGTTTTGAAACTTGTTATTGGATCTGCTCAGGGTTTAGATTTCATCCTGTTTCTATCTTGACAGGTTTATCCATTTATCCAAATCTTTTAGATTTTCCAGTTTGTGTGCATGCAGATGTTTGCAGTAGTCTCTGAGGGCTTTTTTTTTCCCCCTGTGGTAATGTCCCCTTTGTCATTTCTGATTTTGTTTATTTGCATTTTCTCTCTTTTTTCTTTATTAGTCTAGCTAGCAGTCCATCAATCTTAATTGTTCTTTCAAAAAACAAATTCCTGGATTTGTTTATCTTTTGCATGGTTTTTCAAGTTTCAGTTTCTTTCAGTTCAGCTCTGATTTTTGTTATTTCTTGTCTTCTTCTACCTTTGGAGTTGATTTGCTCTTGTTTGTCTAGTTCCTTTAGTTATGATGTTAGGGTCTTAATTTGAGACCTTTCTAACTTTTTGATGTTGGTGTTTAATGCTATAAATTTCCCTCATAACATTGTTGTAGCTATGTCTCATAAATTCTGGTATGTTGTATCTTTGTTCTCATTAGTTTTAAATAATTTCTTAATTTCTTCTTTCATTTTGTTGTTTACCCAAAAGACACTCAGGAGCAGACTGTTTAATTTTCATATAATTGTATTGTTTTGAGTCATTTTCTTAGTATAGATTTTTATTTTTGTTGGGCTGTGGTCCAAGAGTATGGTTGGTATAATTTCTTTTTTGTTTTGAATATGCTGAGGATTGTTTATAGCTGATTTTGTGGCCGATTTTAGACTATGTGTCCTTTAGGATTAGAATAATGTATGTTCTGTTTTCTTTGGGTGTAGAATTCTGTAAATATCTTTTAGATTCAATTTTGTCAAGTGTCAAGTTCAGGTCCCAAATGTCTTTGTTAGTTTTCTACCTTGATGATCTGTCTAATACTGTCATTGTGTTGTTGAAGTCTTTCATTACTATTGTGTGATTATCTAACTCTCTTTGTAGGTCTCTAAGAATTTGCTTTATGAATTTGGGTCCTCCCCTGTTGGGTGTGTATATATTTAGGATAGTTAGACCTTCTTGTCAAATTGAACTCTTTACCATTATGTAATGATCTTCTTTGTCTTTTTTGATCATTGTTCATTTAAAGTCTGTTTTGTCTAAAATTAGAATAGCAGCTCCTGCTTTTTTTTTTTTTTCTGTTTTCTGTTTGCTTGGTAGATTTTTCTGTGACCTATTTCTTTGAGCCTATGGGTATCATTACGTGTGAGATGAGTCTCTTGAAGCCAGCATGCAACTGGTTCTTGCTTCTTCATCTAACTTGCTAATCTGTGCCTTTTAATTGAGGTCTTCATCCCATTTACATTAAAAGTTAATATTGATAAGTTCAAATTTAATTTCTGTAGTCATGTTGTTGTTATGCAGACTTGACTGTGTGGTTGCTTTTTAGTGTCAATGGACTATGCACTTAGTGTGTTTCTGTGGTGGCCAGTAACAGTGGTCTTTTGTTTCCACATTTAGCACTCCCTTAAGGATCTCCTGGAAGGTAGGTTTGGGTGTAACATATTCTTTTCACATTTGCTTATCTGAAATGAATCTTAATACTCTTTAACTTGTGGAAGTTTAATTTGGCTAAATATGAAATTCTTGTTTGCAGTCTCTTTTCTTTAAAAATGCTGAATACATGCTGATATGGTTTGGCTCTGTGTCCTTATCCAAATCTCATGTCAAATTGTAATTCCCAGTTTTGGAGGAGGGGCCTGGTGGCAGGTGATGGAATCGTGGGGGTGGACTTCCCCTTGCTGTCCTTGTGATAGAGTTTTCTTGAGATCTGGTTGTTTGAAAGTGTGCAGCACTTCTCCCTTTGCTCTCTCTCTCCTGCTGGATATGGAAAAATGTGCCTACTTCCACTTTGCCTTCCATCATGGTTGTAAGTTTCCCGAAAAACTTACAAAGTAGAAGCCTGTACAGCCTGCAGAACTGTGAGCCAATTAAAACTTTTTGCTCTATAAATTACTGAGTCTCAAGTAGTTGTTTATAGCAGTGTGGGAACGGACTAATACCACAAAATTAGTACCAGAGAAGTGGGGGGCATTGTTATAAAGATACCTGAAAATATGGAATCAACTTTGGAACTGGGTAATGAGTAGAGGTTGGAACAGTTTGTAGGGCTCAGAAAAAGACAGGAAGATAAGGGAAAGTTTGGAACTTCCTAGAGATTTGTTAAATTTTTGTGACCAAAGTGCTGATAGTGATATGGACAATGAAGTCAAGGCTGAGGCAGTCTCAGATGGAGGAACTTATTGGGAACTGGAGTAAAGAGCACTCTTTCTATGCTTTAGCAAAGAGACTGGCAGCACTGTGCCCCTGCTTTAGAAATCTGTGGAACTTTGAGCTTGAGAGAGATGACTTAGAGTATCTGGCAGAAGAAATTTCTAAGCAGCAAATTACTCAGAGGTTGCCTGGCTGCTTCTAACACTGTACATGCATATACGTGAACAAAGAAATTATCTGAAACTGGAATTTTATTTAAAAGGGAAGCAGCACATAAAAGTTTACAAAATTCGCAGCCTGACCATGTGGTAGAATAGAAAAACCCATTTTCTGGGGAGGAATTCAAGCCAGCTGCAGAAATTTACATAAGTAAAAAAGAGCTAAATATAAATAGCCAAGACAATGGGGAAAATATCTTCAGGGCATTTCAGAGACCTTTGCAGCAGCCCCTCCCATCTCAGGCCTGGAGGCCTAGCAGGGAAGAAGGGTTGTGTGGACCAGGCCCAGGGCTCTGCTGCTCTGTGCAGACTTGGGATCTGACACTCTGCATCATGGCCACTCCAGTTGTCGCTAGAAGGGGCCAAGGTACAGCTTGAGCCATGGCTTCAGAAGGCACAAGCCATAATCCTCAGCAGCTTCCATGTGGTATTAAGACTGTGAGTGCACAGAGGGGAATTGCTGAGGCTTGGGAGCCTCCGCCTAGGTTTCAGAGGATGTAAGGAAGCACCCGGTTGTCCGGGAAGAAGTCTGCTGCAAAGACAGAGCCCTCATGGAGAACCTCTACTAGGGCAGTGCTGGGGGAAAATGTGGGGTTGAAGCCCCCACACAGATTCTCAACTAGGGCACTGCCTAGAGGAGCTGTGAGAAGAGGGCCACCATCCTTCACACCCCAGAATGATAGATCCCCTGACAGCTTGCACTGTGCACCCTAAAAAGCCACAGGCACTCAACACCAGCCCATGAAAGCAGCTGTAGGGGCTGTACCATACAGAGCCACAGAGGCAGAGCTGCCCCAGACCTTGGAAGCCCACCCCTTGCATCAGTGGCCTGGATGTAAGACATGGAGTTAAAGGAGATTATTTTGTATCTTTAAAGTTTAATGACTACCCTGCTGGGTTTTGGACTTGCATAGGGTTTGTAGACCCTTTGTTTTGGCCAATTTCTCCCTTTTGGAAAGGGAGTATTTACCCATGCCAATATTCCCATTGTATCTTGAAAACAATTAGCTTGCTTTTTATTTTACCAGCTCACAGGTGGAAAGGACTTGCTTTATCTCAGATGAGACTTTAGACTGTGGACTTTTGAGTTAATGCTGAAATGAGTTAAGACTTCAGAGACTGTTGAGAAGGGATTGTTGTATTTTGGAATGTGAGAAAATGAGATTTGGGAGGGGCCAGGGGTGGAATGATATGGCTTGGCTTTGTGTCCCCACCCAAATCTCATGTTGAATTGCAATTCTCAGTGTTGGAGGAAGGGCTGGGGGGGCTCTCACTCACCATTTCCCTGCAGTGGGGGGGCCTCCCCTTGCTCTGTGCCACTCCCAATTGGCAGTTGTTCTGCCTCAGTCTTCCTTTCTCATGGGCCAAAATTGCTTCCTTGATGAGTTTGAATGTGTCCACCTGGATGATCCAGTTAAAGAGCTAGTGTTGTCTGGGCTTGGTGGCTCATGCCTGTAATCCCAGCATTTTGGGAGGCTGAGGCAGGCATATCACCTGAGGTCAGGAGTTCGTGATCAGCCTGGCCAACATGGTGAAACCTCGTCTCTACAAAAAATACAAAAATTAGCTGCGCATAGTAGTGGGCTCCTGTAATCCCAGCTACTTGGGAGGCTGAGACAGGAGAATCACTTGAACCTGGGAGGCAGAGTTTGCAGTGAGCCGAGACTGTGCCATTGCACTCCAGCCTGAGAAAGAAGAGAGAAACTCTGTCTTTAAAAAAAAAAAAAAAAAGATCTAGTGTTTACTCATCACTCTTCCTTCTCTCCATGGGAGCAGTGCACACTAGCTGCTTCTATTCAGCCATCTTGGCTGGAATCAGGTAAGTCAATTTACATCTCATTTTACTTTCTTCAACTTTGCTTCTCAAATTGGAGTTCAAGTACTCATAGGGATTGGAAATAATGTGCCAAAGTATTCAAAAAGCCACAGGAGACCCAAATGTCTATTAATTTTTTTTTTTTTTTTGAGACAGAGTCTCGCTCTGTCACCCAGGCTGGAGTGCAGTGGCACGATCTCTGCTCACTGCAAGCTCCGCCTGCCGGGTTCACACCATTCTCCTGCCTCAGCCTCCTGAGTAGCTGGGATTACAGGCACCTGCTACCACGCCTGGCTAATTTTTTTGTATTTTTAGTAGAGATGGGGTTTCACCATGTTAGCCCGGATGGTCTCGATCTCCTGACCTCGTGATCTGCCCCACTTGGCCTCCGAAAGTGCTGAGATTACAGGCATGAGCCACCGCGCCCGGCCTAATTTTTAACAAAGAATTATTACAAATAAAAAATCTAACAGGTTCTATAATTTGATTCATTTAGTTTCCAAAATAAAGGGACAAAAGGGTTTTGAGAAAAAATTTCACATCCTGATCCAAGGTTAATTAATGGAAAAATCAGCATTGTATTTTATTTACAATCTATCCACCTATTAGTTTATTGATATAATTTCTGGTTCATCTTTTTAAATTATGGGCTTCTTATTTAGGAGGATACTGGCAATACCAAAAGTTATTTAAAAATAATGTTTGAAAACATTTACTTGTTATTTTCACATACTTCTTGGGCTATTTGATACATTTTCAGAGCAGAGGACACTTCAAGTTCTTCAACTGCAAATCATTTTCTCTCTCGACTTTAAGCAACTTAAATCAGTCCCTGTACTCCATCCTGTGACAATTGTTGTTACTCGGAACAATTTAAAGAGTTCATGCTAGGCATGTTGGCCTTTCACAGACATTTACCCAGAAAGAAAATAAATGATCTGTATTCTCTTCTCTCCAGCCTACATCTGCAGAACATGGATAAACATGCAATCGCTGAGGGTGGTAGTACTTCCCTGGCAGAATTAAAATATCAAAAAGCTGAAAAGGCTGTTGGGCTGTCAACTGGACCATTCTCCAAACATTGGACAGAATAATTCCAAAAGAAGTACTCTAAAATTGGCTATTTATTGCATGTAAGATTGAGTTCTGAACATTTTGGGCTATTCTTTGGACCTGTACATCATTATCAGAAATCCTATGGTTGAAAAAGCAGGCAGTAGTCATTTTTATTTTATCCCAATCTCCAGGCAATATCCTTGCCATATAGTAAATAATATCAAATCAGATGTAACTGCAGGGACTATATCTTTAACATGCTATCCTCGGCACCTGACACATTATCAGCTGTGACTGAATTTTTCTAGTTTATTTTTGAGACTCAAAGGATAAATTAAATCGTTTTCCAGATAACAAACACCCTTAAATGAAGTATGGTGATCACAGATCCTCAAAGAATGGTTTCCTCCAGTGATTGACTCTCCTTTTTGTTTGTTTTAATTCTATTCACTATTTAGATTTCATCTCATTTGAGCTGAGAAAGTCATTGGGCAAGACAGGCCTGGACTGCCTGCCTTTGGTCACTTATCAATTACAAATAGTGTTTTCGATGTCTATTTTTATCTCATGGTTTCCTGTCGAGCATTTTAAAAAAGAATTGGAATGGCAATTCAGTGAAATTATAGAACATGGGAAAGGTCAAAGGTATATAGTTTAATGTTATCTTTCAGAGAACATGTGAGGTTATAAAATTCTAAACCCTAGTTCCTGTGACAAAGCTTGTAAAAAGGAGAAAGAAATAGCAAATCATAAATCTGGCCCTCTCCCACTGTCTGAAGCAGAAGGAACCATACCAGCCTAATCTGTTTGAGTTACAAGGTTTAGAATGTAATCTGTGACTCACGGTTTTATAATCAGGTTTAAATTTAGTCCCTTCAAATAAAACATTTATGAGGGCACTTTTTTTTTTTTTGAGTTGGAGTCTCGCTCTGTCACCCAGGCTGGAGTGCAATGGTACAATCTTGGCTTACTGCAACCTCCGAGCCTTCCTGGGCTCAAGCGATTCTCCTGCCTCAACCTCCCAAGTAGCTGGGATTACAGGCACGCCCCACCATGCCTGTCTGATTTTTGTATTTTTAGTAGAGACGGGGGTTTCACCGTGTTGAACAGGCTGGTCTCGAACTCCTGACCTAGTGATCCGCCTGCCTTGGCCTCCCAGAGTGCTGGGATTACAGGCTTGAGCCACTGTGCCTGGCCAATGAGGGCGCTTTTCAATAAGCCTTGTAGTGACTCTGTTTCATTGTTTTAAAAATTGGTCTTTAAAAATAATCTCTGAACTTAAAAGTATTTAATGTTAAATAAATTAAAATGCTTCAACATGAGAGAATGTTATTCATATGACATCAAAAAACCAATTTGAAAATAATCCTTCGATAATCAAACTAAGTTTAGGTCTTTCCAATAGCAAAATTCATGAGGAATATTAATTCAGTGCACGCAGGCAGTAGGTGGAAATTAGCTTCATTGTATGGTATCATTTTCTTGAGGCATTTTGTGCAGATAGTTTTCTTTTTCATTTTTAGTTCCAGATTTAATATATCTAGCCCAAATTTATTTTGCTCATATGGATATAGTAAAATTAATGGCTTGCAATTTACTGATAGCTATTACTTTATTTTGCCCCTCCTGAGAGGCTACAAGAGTGCATATAAAACACAGTGGTAAAAATTTCTAAAAGGAACTTGTGTTTCTGGGTTATTCCTTGTGTTGTGTACCTTCAACTGGTATTTTACACCATGACTGGTCAGTATAAACATAATCGCATTTCTTATGATTTTAGTTATATCAACATCATGTCCTAATAAAAATGGAGACTGACAAACAGGAGAAGGGGAATATTTTTTGAGCCTAATGAGGTTCAGGATATGTAACTACCTGATAAAGAAGTTGCTCATAGTCTCAGATGTCTCATAATACAGAGCAGGGGAAGTGAGTAATGTTCTCTGCCATTTCTAAGGTGAATCTAAAGCATTTTTCCTTCATTTTTGAGTAAGCTCAAGAGCCTTCCCATTACTATCATTTACATGCATATATATATCCATACATATACAGACATATATATGTATATACATAAGGTTATGTGTGTGTATATAGATATATATATATGTGTGTGTGTATATATGGATATATATGATCTGAGTATATCATATATATGATCATATCATTTAAGCTATGATCTTTGAAAAAATGTTTTCTCTCACTCTTCATTCAGAGGAATGAACATGCTTCTGGCCCTTCCTGTCTCTCATTAAATACTTTGCCCTATAGAATTCTCTTATTCACCAACACAACTTACCCACTCAAACAACTCAGGCTATTGTTTGAGGTGGCTCCTATTTCTAGGTGACCCACAAAAATGGTGTCACCCTTGACCTTTCCATTTCCAGTAATTTTCTTCTAAGATACACCTGAGTCATGTTCATGGCCATTTCCTTGACTGTGTTTTCAGCTGAAATTGGTCCATTTAGAAATTAGCACAGCCAAATATCACATAACAGACCATCCATCTGTTTTTTCACCTCTCTCTATTCTTCAAATTCAAGACAGTTCTGGCCACTATGTTTTTTCTCTTTCTCATATATAAAAGCAAATCCATCTTTCAATATGCCCATATTTAAATTTCTTCTCAACATTTTGCTGCCACTGGAGTTCAACCTAATTATAATTACATATCAAGCTGTCGGACATATTCACCTGAGTAAGTAGAAAAAACTGGGATTTTATGTCTGATATGTTAAATACAAATATTTTCATTTAATTTTTAAAGTAATCTAGCTGTGATCTTTGATAAAATGTTTTCTCTTATTCTTTATTCAGAGGAATTAGAGAGCCTCTATATTGGCCCCTGCTTGCAATGAGAATTTCTAAACAAGAACAACACCATCAAGAAAGTACTGAATTATATGAATTTTATCATTTATGAAAATTATATACATAACTGGCTCTTAAGTGCTGTGCAAACTTAACATATTTAAATGTATTGTATGGTTTCTTTGACTGGAAGTTCATCTTCTCAAGTTTTTTTTTTCTTTTTGAGATGGAATCTCACTCTGTCACCAGGCTGGAGTGCAGTGGTGTGATCTCAGCTCACTGCAACCTCTGCCTCCCGAGTTCAAGTGATTCTCCTGCCTCAGCCTCCTAAGTAACTTGGACTACAGGCATGCACCACCACGCCCAGCTAATTTTTGTATTTTTAGTAGAGACAGGGTTTCACCATGTTGGCCAGGATGGTCTCGATCTCTTGACCTCATGATCCACCCTCCTCGGCCTCCCAAAGTGCTGGGATTACAGGTGTAAGCCACCATGCCCAACCCTTTCTCAAAGATTTTTAACCCTTAGATATACCTCAGCATAAATTTTCTACATTGTCTGGCATTTAGCTACAGAAACAGTCATTATATAAATTAGCATCTATATTCAGAATCTGCTATCTCATTGATATCTTTTGCAGCATTTTTCCCCAGCTACCCATTGCATTTAGCTGTCTTGATCTCATTTCAGACTTGTACAATTTATCCTTTGTCTTTCATGAAATGGCATTGATATTTCTGAGGAGTACAAGCTAATTTTTCTGTAGAATGTTCCTCAACATTTTTCTGATAATTCTGCTAGTTCCTCATAATTAAATTTTCATTATACATTTTTGGCACTAATGTCACATAATGTTGTCTCCTTTTCAATGTATAACATTAGGAGGCACTTGTCAGTTTATTTTATTATTGTTGATGTTAAATTCGTTCACTTGCTTTTGCCTATTCTAGAGTGTCACACATAACCTACAGTATAAACTTTTGTGCCTGGCTTCTTTCACTCAGTACAATGTTTATTTGATATACTTGCATTGTTGCATGTTTCAGTAATTTGTCCTTTTTATTACTTTTTATTTATCTTTTAAGTCAGGGATTAATCTTTTTTTTCTGTAAAAAGTTGTATAAGTATGTTAATCTTTGCTGGCCACATACTGATATTTATCATTTATGTGTGTGTGTGTGTATGATATATGAGGGTGTGTGTGTATGCGTGTGTGTGTGTGTATGTGTGTGCATATAGGGGTTGTGTATACAGATTATATGAATATATCCTTTTAAAATGTAAAACCATTCATAGCACTCAAGCTGTATAAACACAAGCCTCAGGCCAGATTTGACCATTGGCCTTAATTTTCCAACTCTTATTCTAAATGAGTTTTTGTTGTTGTTTTGTTGGGGTGCATTGTCTTCTATTTAATCATTTATTTTTTATTTGTACAAGTTTTGGGGGTAAATATGAAATTTTGTTACATTTATATAATGGATAGTGATCAAGTCAGGGTATTTAGGATGTTCATCTCTTGAATACAATACATTTGGGGTTAACTGTAGTACCCCGACTCTGCTATCAAACATTAAATTTATTCCTTCTATCAAACTATATGTTTGTACCCTTTAACCCACATCTCTTCATTCTCCACCCCATTCCCACTTACCCTTCTCAGTCTTTATTCTGTATGTTTTTCATTCTCTACCTCCATGTAACAAGATTTATTAGCTCCCATGTAAAAGTGAGAACATGCCTTTTGTCATTCACTTTTTGATGAACATTTTGGTTGTTTCTTGTTTTGAGCTATTATTGAAACTAACATGGACTTTTCTAGAGAAGTCTTTCTGTAGTTTTTTTTTTCGTTTTCGTAAAATATACATAACATGAAATTTACAAGTTTTGCCATTTTCAGTTGTACAATTGAGTGGCATTAAGTACATTCACAATGTTGTGCAACCATCACCATTATACCTTTCTGGAATTTGCTCATCGTATCAAACAGAAACTGTGTACCCATTAAATGATAACTCTCTATTCCCTTTTAGATATGTTTTTACTTATATAAATGCCTAGGTGGGGAATTGCTGGGTCTTATGTTAGGTGTATATTTAATTTTATAAGGAATTCCAGAAGTGTTTTCCAAAATGATTCTACCATTTTACTCTTCCATCCACAATTCATATGAGCTGTAAGTGCTGCACATTCTCATCAACATTTGATATTGTCAGTTGTCAAATTTTTGCCATTCTGGTGGGTGCTCCAACAATTATCCTTAGATCTAGGTTTCTGTTTATCTACCATCCCCCAGTTTTCTCCTTCATTGTAAAAGCTGGCTCATATCGGCTCTCCAGAGTGCGGAAATGTGAAAGAGAACAGTAAGGCCAAGCAGTTTCTTCTGAGAATTTTACTCTGAAGATTCATTTTCCCTTTTCATTCCAGTTCATAGAACACACCTTAATCGCAAGGTCAGAGGTGCCAGTAAGATAAGGAGCAAAATGTGATTTTTAGCTGGGCAACTACTTGTGCTTCTAAATCCTTGGTTTACTTACTAAAGAAAAAAAAATAGTTAAGAATGGATCTTGGGAAATGACTAGTATACTCATTTGTACTTTCAAAACTTATTACAGGTAGGTTTATTTTGTGTTTCTTATTTCAATATTAACTTAAGGTTCCCAGATAGAAAACAAACTGATGCTGTCCTATTTATTTAACAACCCAAAGGGATGAAGTATTTAATTTATTTTATATTTTTGTGTGATTCAAGATAATATCATTTCCCTACCAAAAAGAGAAGAAATGAAAAATTATTCCTGTCTACTTGGTCTTGAATAATAAAATATTAGTGCTGATGGAGACCTTCAGTTAGACCAAACTAGATACAATCATCTTATCCATAATGCTCTGTAATGGGCAATTATATTCTTCTCTTTGAACATTTTAGGTATTAGAAAACTTCATAATTACTTATAAGGCAGCATTCCAATTGCATGCAACACAAATTGTTAAGCGTGTGTGTGTGTGTGTGTGTGTGTGTGTGTGTGTGTATTTTTGTGTGCATGCGTTAAGTTGGGCCAATATTCATGATCATTTAGTACTTACTAACGTCAACTGATAATTTTACTTTTTTTGTTGAGACCAATTCTCATTTTAGCCCTCTTAAAATACTTTAGAATTTAATGGATTGTCTTTGTAGTTTTGAAACAACCTTTGATTGATGTATTTTGAAAATTCATGTAAAATGGTTATGTTTATTCTTTTGGCATAAATGACACTAGTGAATACAAATGATTACTTTTGTTAATAGTTTCCTAGGTGTTAGTGTTTACAAAATGAATTTTACAATATAAACTATTATACTATACTCCAGGAAACTTTATTAAAAATTATAATGAATTAGTCATTGCTGAGTCAAAATCAAGTCCATAATTTTTTCCTTTAAAGTAAGCCACATTTCAATGCTGCATAAAACATTTCTGATACCTAGGGTGCTATTTGGCCAATAAATGTATGATTGAAATTCTCTGCATAATACCTTGACTACATAAAGCCTCCAAATTACTTAATTTGCAACTAGTATAAAGTTTAACCACTCCGTTGAGGTCTTGTTGGATTTAAGGGTCTACGTAAATTCCAATATAAATGAAAAATCTCTTTAACTCATTCCAAAATATGCAACCTACTTTACTGATCTACTTTAGAAGCACTAGGAAATTGATTAAAAGTATAATACACTTCACAAATTCATGAACTCCCTTCTAGAATACCGGAATTTTATACAAAAGTATATGCCAGGCCTGCATGCCTTCTCTGATAAATTTTTACATATGTTAGTTATCAAAGGTAAGGTCTATAAACTAAATTATTGATTTAACGATAGATATTGCCACCAAAAATAATTTTATTCTATGTTTTATAGTTTCAGATAACTCCAATTATCTCAAAGCCCCCAGAAATAATTATTTTATTCTCATAACAACTATTTTGTTTTTGTTTTAATTTTAAGTGTAAACCTTGTATACATTTAGGTAACTGAGATACCATTTTTCACTGTCTCATGAAGGTCTTTTATTTGTCATTTCTTTGTTATATAACCTATAAAAAAGATTACATCAGAAGAAGTTACACCAAATATAATAAAATCTATTTGATAACTACAAAAATTAATTTGGTGATGACCTTTTAAAACACAATTATAACAGATGTATAATTTAATTACATACATGAATATATAATTAAAAATATTGAGAACTGTTCATCCTACTAAGCACATTTTTCCAAAGAAAGGTATAGATTACAAGCTATTAAAAGATACTTAACATTATTATGGAAAAGTAATTTTAAACCACAATAAGCTATTACAACATACTCATTAGAATGGCTAAAAACAACAAAATAACTGACAATATAAAGTTCTGATGAGCATGTGAGGAAATGAGAACCCTCATACATTGCTTGTGGGAATGCAAGAATTGTTAGTGTCTTTGTTCACAAAAGCCAAAAAAATTGAAATATCAAGTAGATGGAAAAACGAATGATGGTATATTTATACAACAGAACACCACTAAAAACTACAAAATCAACATCATGATACATGCAACAACATGGATGAATCTCAAAAGCATTATAGTGAGTGATAAAAGTCAGGCTAATAGAAAATAACTATATAGAGTAATATACCATTTAGATTATGTGCTTAAAAACATACAACATTAGAAGACAGAAATAAGATTAGTGGTTGCCAGGGATGGGGTTGGAGTAACAGAACTGACCACAAAAAATAGTAGAAGGGAATTTTTTCAGTGAAAAAAAGTTCTTTATCTTTGATTGATGTGATGCTTATACACCTTATAATACTATATATGTCTGTCAAGTGCATTATATTGCACACTGAAAAAGAGTAGATTTTGCTGCATAATTATTTGACCTCAATAAATCTAATAAAAAAGAAAAATTATAAATGCAAATTATGAATGCAACTTTCATCTGCTCTGACTCCCGCTGATTGCTTAGGGTAACAGGGAACCTGTGCAAAGTGTGTAGAAAATGGGGAATGGTATGTGGAACCAGTGCAGTAAAGCTCCATTGAAACTTTCCACTAAACTACTTGAAGGTAACTACAGATCACTACTTGAGGATTTATTTTTTCTTTTTTTGAGGAAAACATAGTCAAATCATAAATAAATGGTTTGGGATCAACATCTTACAAAAGTAGTAATATGATTCCAGTCTTTCATTTTCAGTCATATGAACATGTATTTATGTTATAAATCATTAATACATATACAATACATGAAGGTGAATAAAATAGAAACTTATTATCCAGCTTTAAAAATAATAAATGGTTCTGAAGTCACTTTGTTTCACTTGCCAGTTGTATTCATTAGTTTTCTTACAAGGATAATCAAGACTATAAAATGTATGCGTATTATGCCCCCTCCTTCTGTCTTAATTTTACTATTTATTTATCATTATTTTAAAATATTTACTTTTTGTTTTTATAATATAGAAATAAATATTTTTCTATGACTTTTTACATTGAAAATTATATATTTGATGACTGAACTGCCTTTTTAAAAACTTCTGAACAGCACTGCAATGCTTGAGTATACCAAAATGAATGTGTCTATTGCATTATTGATATATACTTATATCATTAAAATACTTTCTATGCTTTGAACAATGCTATCAGAAACATTCTCGTAGATGCCTTGTGGTAGACATATGCTAGATATTCTCAAGAATATCTAATTGAAAGTGGGATTACATGTTTTCATGCTATAGATTCCTGAGTTAGTTTAAGGATAGTACTAAATTGTTTTAAAAAGTAGTTTTCTACACAATAAAATATTACTCAGTCATAAAAAAGAATGAAATCCTGTCATTTGCAACAATGTGGGTGGAACTGAAGGACATTACGTTTGGTGAAATAAGCCTGACACATAAATAAAAATATTGCATATTCTCACTTATATGTAGAAGCTAAAAAAATTACATTCATGATGATAGAGAGTAGAATCATGGTTACCAGATGAAGGGAAATGTGATAGGGAAGGGGGAGTAAAGGTTAATAAATACAAAAATACAGTTAGATATAAGGAATAAGATACTAGTGTTCAGTAGCACAGTAGGGCAACTATAGTTAACAATAGGGAAAAGTAGTATTTTTTTAGTGATGTAAATGGCAGAATAAGGACTTCCAAAAATCTTTTTTTCCATAAAAGAAATGATAACCCTGCTGAAAAATGGTCAAAATCAACTTTTTTAGAGCTCTAGAAATGAGCCATGGCTTGCAAAAACCCAAGGAGCATTTATTCAAGAAAAACATCTAAATCTCAGTGAGAATAGTGAGCTTTGTGGTATTTTTACTTGTCTTGTTTACATTTCCTTTCCTAACTTCATGGAAGCCTTGAAAGCCCTTCTACAATCATGGTGAAAACTAGTAGGCTAACATCCAGAGGAGGAGGAAAACATCTTTGGAACTCTTTCCCAAAAATATGTTATTATATCACTGTGTGACAGATACCTGGAAACTCCCCATTCACAGGGCATGTCTTTATTCCAACTGACTCAGAGCTCATTATTGTCAGCAGAATTTTCTCTAGGAGAATTTGTTGAAAACAATCAGCAGCAATTGTTTAACATAACAACTGCCTGAGGTGGCAGTAACAGTTCAGGCAAACAAGCTAACCAGAAAATTAAAAGGAAAAGCTGGGGAATTACATGTTCCTTGTCCATCTGAGGCTTTGAAAACCTTCAACATACTTCTGGGATACTAGAAGACTAGAATTTCTGTGAGTGCCCAGAAATAACCAGAGTAGGCCCTAAGCTCTTACCTCAGTGACCTTGAACCTCTCCACAGGCAAGAATAAAAGCTGACACAGAGTTTAAAAATGTCTTGCAGAACTTCATGGTGTGATCCAACATCCACACAGAACCCCTAGGAAAAGGCTGAGAGGCATATTGATTCCTTTCATTTGAGAAAATAGCTGTATGATCACTACGTGACCACTAGTCCAAACAAGCACAGACTTCAAAGCCATGAATGGTAAACCATATAAGCTTTACACAAATTGTTTAAGACAGTCACTAAGCAAAATTGAGCAGGGGCAGCAACAGCCAACAGAAACAATACTTAAGTTGGGGGCAGTGAGAAATCTGATTTCTGGAGTGGCAACACTATATTATTCAACATGTACAATTTTTGGGAAAAAAAAGTTGATGAAACAAGGAAAACAAAATATGATCCATATTTAGGAAAAAAATCAGTTAATACAAACTATTCCTGAGATGTCTATACACTGAACTTACTAGATAAAGTTTTAAAACCAACTCTTTTAAATAGCTTCAAAGAAATAAAGGAAAGCACATCTAAACAATGAGGTATGTAAACAATGTCTCACTAAATACCGACTATTAGGAAAGACAGAATATTTTTTAATTTTCAGTTTGTGGGGGTACATAGTAGGTGTATACATTTAGAATATACATGAGATGCTTTGATACAGGCATACAATGTATAACAATCACATCAGGGTAAATGAGGCATTACAACACCTCTAGCATTTATCCTTACCTTTTGTTACAAATAATCCAATTTTTTTATTTGTTTTAAATGTACAATAAATTATCATTGACTGCAGTCACCCGGTTGTGCTATGATATGCAAGGTCTTATTTTTTCTATTTAATATTTTTGTATACATTGATCATCCCCACTTACCCCTCCCCTTACTGCCCTTCCCAGCCCATGGTGACCATCATTCTACTTTCTACCTCTATGACTTCTATTGTTTTAAATTTGGCTCCCACAAATGAGTGAGAACTAATAATGTTTGTCTTTCTGTGCCTGGATTATTTCACTTAATATAGTGACCCCAGTTCCATCCAAGTTTTTGCAAATGACAGGATCCCATTCTTTTTTTATGGCTGAATAGTACTTTATTGTGTAGATGTACTACATTTTCTTTATCCACTCATCTGTGAATGAACTCTTAGGTTACCTCCAAATCTGGACTATTGTGAATAGTGTTGCAATAAACATGAGAATGCAGATATCTCTTAAATATACTGTTTTTCTTTCTTTTGGGTATATATCTAGCAGTGAGATTGCTGGATCATATGGAAATTCTATTTTTAACTTTTTGAGGAACCTCAAAATGGCTCTCCTTAGTGGTTGTAATTTACACCCCCCACCCCCGCAACAGTGTACGGGAGTTTTCTTTCCTTTACGTCCTCACCAGCATTTGCTATTGCCTGACTTTTGGTTATAAGCCATTTTAACTGGGGTGAAGTGATATTTCATTGCAATTTTCAGTTGCAGTCTCTGATGATCAGTGATGTTGAGCACCTTTTTATGTGCTTATTTTCCATTTATAGGTCTTATTTGAGACATGTCTATTCAAATCTTTTGCCCATTTTAGATTATTAGATTATTATATTTTTTCTATGGAGTTTTTTTCAGTTCCTTATATATTCTGTTCATTAATCCCTTGTCAGATGGATAGTTGGGAAATATTTTCTTCCATTTTGTGGGTTGTATTTTCACTTGTTGATTGCTTCCTTTCCCGTGCAGAAGCTCTTTAACTTGATATGAACCCATTTGTCTATTTTTGCTTTGATTACCTGTGACTGTGGGGTATTACTCAAGAAACTTTGCCCAGTTCAATGGCCTAGAGAGTTTCTCCAATGTTTTATTATAGAAGTTTCATAGTTTGAGGTCTTAGATTTAAATCTTGAATTCATTTTGATTTAACTTTTGTATTTGGCAAGAGACAGGAGTCTAGTTTTATTCTGCTTATGGATACCCAGTTTTCTCAGCACGATTTATTAAAGAGACTGTCCTTTCCGCAATGTAGGATCTTGGCACCAATGTCAAAAATGAGTTCACTGTAGGCATCTAGATTTGTTTCTGAGTTCTCTATTCTGTTCCACTGGTCCATGTGTCTTTTTAATGCCAGTACAGTGCTGGTTTGGTTACTATAGTTCTGTAGTATAATTTGAAGTCAGGTAATGTGACTTCTCCAGTTTGGTTCTTTTGGCTTAGGGTGGCTTTTGCTATTTGGGAACTTTTGTGGTTCCATGTAAGTTTTAGGATTGTTTTTTCTATTTATGTGAAGAATGTCATTGGTATTTTGATAGGAATTGCATTGAACCTGTATATTGTTTTGTGTAGTATGGGCATTTTAACAATATTGATTCTTTCAATTCACGAAAATGGAATATCCTGCCATTTTTATGTGTCCTCTTCAATTTCTTACAT
The DNA here is from genome assembly GCF_000001405.40 of Homo sapiens. NCBI lineage: Eukaryota > Metazoa > Chordata > Mammalia > Primates > Hominidae > Homo > Homo sapiens. The sequence goes on along the minus strand of NC_000010.11, from coordinate 57,151,181 downwards.
CAATTTTTTTTCTTTTTCTTTCTTTCTTTTTTTTTTTTTTTTTTTTTTGGTCATCTCTCTTTATTACCTGGGCTGGAGTGCAGTGGCACAGTCTCGGCTCACTGCCACCTCTGTCTCAAGGATGTAAATGATTCTTATGTCTCAGGTTCTTAAGTAGCTGGAATTATAAGCTTGTGCCACTGCAAGCAGCTCTTTTTTTTTTTTTTTTTTAATAAAGACAGGGTTTCACCATGTTGACCAGTCTGGTCTTGAACTCCTGGCCTCAAGTGACCTGCCCATCTCAGCCTCCCAAACTGCTGGTATTACAGGCATGAGCCACCACGCCCGGCTGCATTAACATTTTATACTCTTCATTGTGGACATCTTTCACGTTTTTTTGGTTGATTCCTAGTTATTTAATTTCACTTGTAGCTATTTTTAATGAAATTACTTTCTTTATTTCCTTTTCAGATTGTTTGCTGTAGGGACATATAAATGGTACTAATTTTTGTATGTTGATTTTGTACACTGAAACTTTACTGAATTTGTTTATCAGTTCTAATAGATTTTTTGTGGAATTTTTAGGTTTTTCCAAATATAAGATCACATAATCTGCAAAAAAGCATAAATTGACTTTTTTCTAATTGGGAGGCACTTTATTTCTTCTCTTGTCTGATTGTTCTAGCTAGGATTTCCAGTACTATGCTGAATAACACTGGTGAAAGTGCTCATGCTTGTCATGTTCCAGATCTTAGAGAAAAGGCTTTCATTTTTTTCCCCATTCGACATGATACTACCTGTGGGTCTGTCATATATGGCTTTTATTGTATTGAAGTATGCTCCTTCTATAGCCAGTTTTTTTTTTTAGGATTTTTATCATGAAGCCATGTTGAATTATATCAAATGATTTTCAGCATCAAGAGAAATGATCATATGGTTTTTGTCCTTCATTCTGTTGATATATGTATCCATTGATTGATTTGCATAAGTTGAACTACGCTTGCATCCCAGGAATGAATCCCACTTGGTCCTAATGAAGGATTTTTGAGTGTGTTTTTGAATTCAGTTAGCTAGTGTTTTGTTCAGGAGTTTTACATCAATATTCATCATGGATATTGGCCTGTAGTTTCCTATTTATTTATTTGATGATTCTTTGTCTGATTTTGTTATCAGGGTAATACTGGCCTCATAGAGTGAGTCTGGAAGTATTCTCTTCTTTATTTTTCAGAATAGTTTGAGTAGGATTGGTATTAGTTCTTCTTTAAATGTTTGGTAAAATTCAGCAGTGAAGCCTTCAAGTCCTGGGCTTTTCTTTGTGAGGGACTTTTTTACTAGGGCTTTTATATCATTACTTGTTATTGGAGTGTTCAGGTTTTGCATTTCTTCATGGTCCAATCTTGATAGGTTGTATTTGTTTAGGAGTTTATGCATTTCTTCTATGTTTTCCAATTTACTGGCATATAGCTTCTCATAGTAGCCTCTAATGTTCCTTTGAATTACTGAGGGATCAGTTGTTACCTCTCTTTTTTCATCCCTGATTTTATGCAATGGACCTTCTCTCTTTTTTTCTTAGTCTGGCTAGTTTGTCAATTTTATTTATCTTTTCGAAAACCAACTTTTCATTTGATTGATTGTCTGTTTTTTTGTTTCAATTTCATTTATTTCTGTTCTCTATTATTTCTTTTCGTCTGCTCATTTTGGGTTTCATTTTCTCTTGCTTTTCTAGCTGTTTAGGATGAATGATTAGGTTGTTTATTTCATGTTTTTCTACTTCTGTGATATAGATGCTTATACCTATAAACTTTCCTGTTAGTACTGCTTTCACTATATCTTATAAGTTTTAGTATATTGTGTTTCCATTATAATTTGTGTCAAGAAATTTTTCAATTTACTTCTAAATTTCTGCATTGACTCGCAGGTTGTTCATGTGGGTATTATTATAATTCCATATGTTTCTATAGTCTCCAAAATTCCTGTTGATATTGATTTCTAGTTTTATTCTATTGTGGTTAGAGAAGACGTCTGATATTATTTGAATTTCTTTGAATTTTTTGAGAATCATTTTTGAGTTAAGGTATAGTCTATCTTTGAGAAAGTTTCATGCACTGAGGAGAAGAATGTCTATTCTGCAGGTATTGGATGAAATGTTCTATAAATATCGTTTAGGTCCATTTGGTCTCCAGTACACATTAAGTTTGATGTTCCTTTGTTGATTTTCTGTCTGGATGATCTATTCAATGCTGTAAGTGGAATGTTGAAATCTCCAGGTATTATTTTATTAGGGGCTATCTCTCTCTGTAGCTCTCATAATATTTGCTTTATATATCTTGGTGCTCCAGTGTAGGGTCACATATATGTACAATTGTTATACCCTCATGCTGAATTGATCCCTTTGTCATTATATAAAACACTTTTTAAAACTATTTTTATAGTTTTATTTTTCGGGAAACTTATTTTGTCTTATATATGTATAGTGACTCCTACTCCTTTGGTTTCCATTTGCATGAAATACCTCTTTTCATTTTTTTTTTTCAGTCTATGTGAGTCTATACTTCACTTTGTAAGTGAAGTATGTTTCTTGTAGGCAAGAGATCATTGGATCTGGGTTTTTTATCCGTTCAGCCACTATATGTCTTTTGATTGGAGAGTTTAGTCCATTTCCATTCAGTGTTATTATTCATAGGTAAGGACTTAGTCCTGCTATTTTGTGATTTGTTTCCTGGTTGTATTATGGTCTTCTCTTCCTTGTTTCCTTCCTTCTTGTCTTCCTTTTAGAGAAGATTACTTTAACTTGTAATATATTATAACTTCTTGATTATTATTTTTGTGTATCTATTGTATGTTGATTGAGGTTACCATGAGGCTTACAAATAATATCTCATAAACCATAATTTTAATCTAATGATAATTTGACACTGCATCACAAACTAACAAGCAATGAGAAAACTAATAACAACTCTACACAAACTTTGTCCCTCTGCTTTTTAACTTTGTTTGATGTTATTTATATCTTATTGTACTATATCATGAAAAATTGTTGTAGTAATTACTTTCAATCTATTCACGTTTTAGTATTTGTACTCAAGATATGAGTAGTTACATATCACAATTACTGTTATAATCTTTTTTTCTGCGTACTTATTATTACACATGAGTTTTGTACCTTCAGATCATTTCTTATTTTCTTGTTGCTCAATAGCATTCTTTTCTTTTGTATTGAAGAACTTTCTTTAGCATTCTTGTAGACATGTCTGGGTTTGATAAATTTCTCTGCTTTTGTTTGTCTGGGAAAGTTTTATTTCTCCTTCATGTTTGAAGGATATTCTCCCTGGATATACTGTTCTAAGGTAATTTTTTTTTTCTTTCAGCATTTTAAATATGTCATGCCACTCTTTCCTGACCTGTGAGACTTTTACTGAAAAGTGTGCTACCAGTTATAATGGAGATTCATTGCATATTATTTGATTCTTTTCTCTTGCTGCTTTTAGGATACTTTTTTACACTTTATCTGTGGGAGATGATTGTTAAATGTCTTTCAGTAGTCTTATTTGGTTTAAGTCTGCTTGGTGTTCTTTAACCTTCTTGTACTTAAATAATAATATTTTGCTATAAGTATAGAAAGCTGTCTGTTATTATCCCTTTGAATAAACTTTCTACCACTCTTTCTCTGCTTCCTTTCTAAGGCAAATGACTCTCAGATTTGCCATTTTAAGGCTATATTCTAGATCTTGAAGATTTTCTGGATCTCTGACTGTGTATTTTCAAATAGCCTTCTTCAAGCTTACTAATTCTTTCTTCTATTTGATAAGTTCTGGTGGTAAGAGACCTTGATGAGTTCTTCAGTATGTCAAAGTATTTTTTTAAGTCTACTGCAGCTGAGATGGTACCCAAGCCACAAGACAAAATCCTTCCCACTCTTGCCTCTCCTTTCCACTAGCAGAGAAATTTCTCCCCATGGCCACAACTGCCCTAACCTGCGGTGAGTACTGCCTGGCTCTCATCAATGTTTATTCAAGGTCCAAGGGCTCTTCAGTCAGGTTATGGTGAATACTGTCAGGCCTGAGACCCTTCAATTCAGGGCAGTGGGCTCTCCTCTCACCCAGGGCAGGTCCAGAAATGCCATTCAAGATTCACAGCCTGGAATTGGGGGCCCCAAAAACCTGCTTTGTTTTCTGCCCAACTGTGGCCAAGAAGCTGGTACCTAAACTATAAGAAAAAGTCCCTTTACTCTTACCTCTCCTTTCTTTCAGACAGAAGGACTCTCCTGTAGGCACCACTGCTGGAAATTTACTAGGTCATACCTGAAGTCAGCACATCTCTGAGTCTAACCCAAGGCCCAAGATGAGTACTACCTAGTACTGATTATTAAGGGTCCAAAGGCTCTCTAATCAGCAGGTGATAAATCCTGCCAGGACTGGGTCCTTCCCTTTAAGGCATGGGTTCTCTTTTGGCCAGTAGTCTTATTTCTAGAAATAAGAACAGGTATGTGTAGAAATGTCATCTGTAAGCTAGGGCCTGGAATGAAGGCCTTAGGACTCTGCCTGGTGTCCTGTCCTACTGTGTCTGAGCTGGTATTCAAGTTCCAAGACAAAGTCCTCTTTACTCTTCCCTCTCCTCTCCTCAAGTGGCGGGAAGGAATCTCCCATAGAAGTATGCTGTGCTGCCTGCATTTAGGGGAGAGGTGACATAAACTCTCCCTTGGCCACCCTGGCTGATGTCTCACTGGGTCTTTTGCCCCCATGTCCATGGGCTCTGAGTTGCCCAGCACCAGGAGTTGCCCAGAAATTGCAGCAATTTTGGCTTAGCCTGCATTTCAAGTTTATTTAAGACCTCATTGTACTTTAGCTAATGGTAGTGCTTGCCAGAACTCAGGTTCTGACTGCTGGGATCATGATTCCCTTTTGCTTGCGCTGGTCTACATGCTCCCTTCTTGGGTACTGACTGGGTTCTATTTGGTGTTGCTTTCCACATGACAGGGCAATAATGAGTTCCAATGCAGAATCCCACAACCACTGTGCTCTTCCTCGAACACACAAATTTTCTCTGAGTTCCAAACAGCCACTGCCAGAAAATGGAATAGGGGTGGTGGTGGCTATTTTAGACTCTTTCCTATACCTTTAAGTACCTCTTTCAAAAATATAAAGTTAAAGCCAGGTACTGTGATTGCTGTTATCTCATTGCCTTCTGGCCCCATGATTTTTTCTAAGAAATCAGCTCTTAATGTTACTGATATTCCCTTGTAGACAAAGACTCCTGTCTCTCTTGTTGCCTTCAAGGTTCTCTCACACTTTTTAGCTTTTAATATTTTAATTATGGCATGCCTAGGTGTAGATCCTTTAATGGTTTTTATCAAAAATAAAAATATTTGCCACTGTTTATTCAAATGGTCTGTCACATTCTCTCTCTCTTCTGGAACACTAGTTATGTGTTTGTTGGTATGCAGATGGTGTTTCACATTACTTTGTGGCTCTATCTACATTTCTTCACTTCTTCTTTTTCTTCCTCAGTTGATCAATCATTAACTTTGCTAATTCTTTCTTCTTTCAGCTGAGAATTGCTATTTAGCTCTTTAGGGGAATATTTTATTTCAGTATTTTTAATTTTAAATATTTTTAAATATTTTTCCCATCTTTCACAATTTCTTTTTAGTCTAAAGCATTCTAATTAAATTTTGTATATTGGTCTTATTTCTAAATAGCATTATTATACTTACTAATGAAAAAATTACGTAGACCATATATTATCTAAAGATAATTATGGTTTGATTTTTTTTCCTTTTAATCTCAATATTTTTCATTTGTTTGTTTATCTTGGATTTTCTATTTTGGTTCATTTGATTATGCTAAGTAGATACCCTGTTATAATGTGAACAAAACTAGTGATAGCAATCTCCATGTACTGGTTCCTGAAAGAACCATTGACAGAGCATTTTCTATATTTACAATGCTCCAATAGGTGATTGTTGCTAAGTCACATTCATAAAAGAACACTACCAAACTGTCTATCAAAGATGAAATGAGATTCACATTGTATGGAGGTGGTATTCTCCAATGGAGAAAGTTCATAATTACTGTTGTGAGAACTGTAGTGTTTAGAATGAAATCAAATAGATTAAATAACAACATTCTTCATCTTTCCCTGGAGCACTTTTCCTAATTCTTGCTCTTTTATTATTTCAAAATCCCCTACAATTGAGTATATTATCTAAGCAGAATTATTAAGTTTAATGTGTGTTTCTTGAGAACCTAATATATACTACATGATAATATGACAATTATTACTGTCATGAATACATATTTGCTTAAATTTTCTGTTGAATACATATCCTATCCTCAAACTATTTCCTTTTGAAATTATATAGGAATTATATTTGTGGAATTATATGTCTATCCAGAAAGGCAGAATCAGTTTTTGACATCTGTTTTCTAGGGCTCCACCATTACTTTCATCTCCCTTAATTAACTCCTCTAAATATTTTCACATTCAATCGATTATTGAACCAATGAGTAGAAGGAATCGTAACAAATAGAAGCCCAGAGAAGTTGAAATACTCAAGATCAAACAATTGTTTCATACTAAGATTATTGTGTATTTCTTATTTTCCCACAATGCCATTTCCAGAATTCATATAATAGTATTATAATTTACTGAAACATTAGTATGTGTCAGACAGTGTGAGAAGATTTTTTAATGGATTTGCACAACTAATCTCCACAATAGAGCTATTTATTCTTGTTTTTTAAAATTTACAAATGTATAGGCATTAAGAGAGTTTTCCTATGTATTGCCCAGATTAATCCAACTTGTAAAGGGTACAATGGTGGGATGGGAACCCAGGCAATAAGAGATTAGCTCTTCCAATATGACCTGCTTTGCTATACTGCATGCTATACATGACTAGTGAGTGCTACACATTTCTCTATTTAACACATATACAAATACTAATCCAGAAAATTATTTTTTAAACTAATTTTTATTTGGCACTTGCAGGAGATTGGCTCTAGGCCCTCTGTGGATACCAAAATCTGTGGATGCTTGAGTTCTTGATATATAATGGTGTAGTATTTGCATATATAACCTATGCACATGCTCCCATATACTTTAAATCACCTCTAGATTATTGATAATATCCAATGTGATGTAAATGCTATGTAAGTAGTTGTCACACTGTATTTTAACACTTGTATTATTTTTATTTTGTATGGTTACTTTGTATTTTTTTATATATTTATTATCCACAGTTGGTTGAACCCACAGATGTGAAACCTGTGGATACGAGGGGCCAGATGTATTGCTTTTACTCATAGAATATTATTACACACAAACTTTTCAGGAGTTGTTGACTTAGGATTAACACCCATAATCTGTATGGCAGAGTTATATGTCTATTAAGTCTTTCATTGGGATAGACTGGGATTTAGAAAAGGTCTCTGAACTCTCAAATTATCGAAGGATTCATGGTTATTAGAAATTCACCAGGACTTGAAATTGATGATGCTAATTTCCTAAAAAATTAAGAAGAGCAAGGTAAAGTCACTGACTTCTATATTATTTTCACACACCCATGTCAAAGTAAACATTGCACTTGACAAAGTTAAACAGGCAAGGAAGGTGACTGCAATAGGGGCAGAGGCCAGACGGAACTCAGTCTGAGCTCTCAACTCAACTCTGGCGAAACAAAGAGCAGAAGAGTTTTTGAAAGCTGGGGTCAGGGAGATCGTAGACTATCTGTGTTAGCTAATTGGCATCAGCCAAATGATGGGAAGTAGTTTTACAACTTAGAGCAATGCACCCTCCAAAGTTAGACTCCCACACTCCCGCAGAGACTAGAAGAGAGGGACACTATCTTCATTGATGATTGCATTTCAAAGAGATGGCTCCCAGGTCCTTGAGTTGTAAAACTGGCAGGAGGCTTTTAAAAAGATTTACATCTCAAAAGGGCAGAGAAAGAATTTGCAATTACAAATATTCTAAAGTGATGCTCTAAAGAAAGCAAGGTTAGGGACCTAGAGGCAGAAAAAAAACCCTTCTAAAATTTAGTCATACTGAGAAAAACTTTAAAGCTGTATCAGTCATTTATATGAAATATACAGACACAGAAACATAGATACACACACACACACACACACCAGAACTGAAACAAAGAAGTGAAAGGATAATCTCCTCATAGCATAGTCAGGATGCTTAAGAAGGAAACGTGCATATTCTGGAGATTTAGAAGTATATTTTAATTTTTCAAAATGTTCGGTTGAGACAATTATTTCCAATTTTAGGTCCGGCTTTTGGTCCAATTCCAAACTGTAATTTTGAGTCTTTAATTCCTTTTCTTGATAAACTGAAATTATAAAGGTTTTGTGCTCTGTCTCAATATTCAAACCTTCATTAAGTGCTGAGCATAAACTCTTGCTAAATAAATACGTATGCATGTGTATGTGTGTGTGTGCCTGTGTGTGTGTGTGTGTGTGTGTGTAAATATAAATAACATTATCAAAGGACTAATTGACTTACATAAATATCAGAGGGATAATTTTTTGAGGAGTCTTTGTACCAGATTAAAATTATATTGTTGAAAAAAACCTATAATATCCAGATAAACAGTTTTAGAAAGAGTGCTACACTTCCAGTTACTTTAAGCTGATATTATAAATAATTTTATACATAAAATTAGCTGTCAGTCAAAATGAATGTCTTGATAAAGATATACTGAAAATTTTGCCATAAACATTTCAGTATCCCTTTCTTCCACTACATAATTTCTTTTTCATATGAGTTATAAATGAGATATTTATAGCTGAATCTCAAGTAGATTGGGCTTTCCAGTAAAATATACTTTACTTATTTTGGTGATTATGCTTCCTTTTCCAATCCAATTGCTTTTGCCCAGATTCTTTCCTGACATCCATATTCAATGACAAATTCTATTCTCCAAAGGCACTTTTCAGCATGTGTCTGCTGTTTGCAGCCCTGGCTGAATAATCTTCATACTGCAGATGAAACAATTATTAATAACACATTTTTAATATTACATCTCAATATATTAGACGTAGTTTAGACGGAGAGAAGAAAATGTTTATAGATTTTCCAGATTAGTTTCAGAAGTTGAAATTCTTTTCATTGCTCTATATAATTAGTCCTTAAGCCTTTGTAACCCTAAGTTAATAAATGATTATAAAAGATTACCATTACTATTGTTATTATTATTGTTATTTGCTTGCTTGTTTATTTTATCAACAACCAACCTTCTATGTCACATTCTTTTATTTCTTCTACTTAATAATATTAATAATCATTAGTTACTTAATCAGTTCAATTATTAGCTCATCTGCAGAATGACTCTGAGAATATCCTACGGTCTCTATCAGGGACCTGTGCACAATGGGAATGTCAAATATATATAATATTACAGAATAAAATTTAATAAGAAGTGGACAAAATACAACAAAGTATACATACATATGCTTGTAATCACCAAGAGGTTTTTCCTGCCCACTGCACAAATAAAGTCCACAGCATTGCAGTAAAGAAAGAGTTTAAAAGACACAAGATGGAGTTAGCACTCAAATCAGTCTCTTTCAAAGCTCATAGGTGAGTGGTTTTCAAAGGCAATTTGGGGGAAGGATGTATTAGTCAGGGTTCTCTAGAGGAATAGAACTAGTTTTATATATATATATAATTATTTTATATATAATTATATATATAATTAATTTATTTATATATAATATATTATATATAAATTATATATATTATATATATATTATATATAAATTATATATATTATATATAATATATAAATTATATATAATATATATAATTTATATATATAATTATTTTATTTATATATATATATAGAGAGAGAGAGAGTTTATTAAATATTAACTCCCACAATAGGCTATCTAAAAGCTGAGGAGAAGGGAGAGCCAGTCCAAGTCCCAAAACTGAAGAACTTGGAGTCTGATGTTTGAGGGCAGGAAGCACCCAGCATGGGAAAAAGATGTAGGCTGGGAGGCTAGGCCAGTCTAGTCTTTTCATGCTTTTCTGCCTGCTTTATATTCTAGCCATGTTGGTAACTGATTAGATGGCGCCAACCCAGATTAAGGGTGGGCCTGCCTTTCCCAGCCCACTGACTCAAATGTTATTCTCCTTTGACAACTCCCTCACAGACACTCCCAGGATCAATACGTTGCATCCTTCAATCCAATCAAGTTGATACTTAGTATTAACCATCACAAGTCTACCTTTTGTTGACTTGAACACACACACATCTCTTGAGATTATACATAATCTTCAGATAAAGACAATAATAACGTCATAATTTTGCCTAACATAATACAACTATCCTTCATAAACTGGACGCACCAATCCCCAACCCAAATGCTATTACATGAAGTTAACAATACTTAAATACTGACATGAAGTCAATAAATCTTATGTCACATGACAAAGGAAAAAGGAAATAAAATAAAGATATTTTCTCAGCGCAAGTGTATAAATGCACAAATATGTTTTTAACAAAAGAAGGAGGAAATATTCATGACAATTACAGTCCTTGTTTTTGTAGCTGGTCATGTGGTCATAGCTGGTATCGATGACTACCTTCTTCTACTACTAATTCTATATTCCCTTTGCCTTCAGCAAGCACCTCAGCAGGCCATGCTTTTTTCGTTTTTCCTGGTGGAGTGACCCAAACCTTAATTCCTGAAGAGTCTGAGCCATTTTTTCCTGCCTGGATTGGACTGTTGCAGTTTTACAATGACCTTAATCACAGGGCATGGTAATATTAAGAGATGCCCTAATAGATCTCCTGTATTCCATGCATACTCTTCCTTACCTTCATTGTGGAGTAGTAGACTGATTTTATCTTGATAGTCTGGCCAATCACCCCAGCCAACACTGTAACTCTCTCCTTAGCCTATTGACTTAAAGGTAGGAGGAGCCCAAAGTATCCAGGTGGCAATCTTAACTTCCCTTTATTTGAATTGTTGTGTCTCCTAGGGGCAGCATTCCTCGCTCTGGAACTAAGACTTCTAGGCAAGCAGAATGTAATGTCATGGGAACAGGAAGCAAAAATTTTGCTAGTGGATCACTAGGGGTGATGGTGAGTGGTGCCACTTTCACTTCCACCCCTTGATTCCTGGACACGTGCATCCTGGCTATGGGAGAAACAGTACCATATATTGGATGCTGATTCACAGCATACATGGCCTTCTGGAGAACTTTGCCCAGCTTTGTATTGTCATCTAGTTGGCATTATAACTGTGACTTCAAAAGGCCATTCCACCATTCTGTCAATTCAGCTACTTCAGGATGATGGGGAATATGGTAAGACCAAGGAATTCCATGAACATGAGCCTACTGCCACACTTCTTTAGCTGTAAAGTGAGTGCTTTGTTCAGAGGCAATGCTGTGTGGAATACCATGATGGTGGAAAAGGCATTCCATCAGTCCACAGATGGTAGTTTTAGGAGAAGCATTGAGTGCAAGATAGGCAAACCCATGTCCAGGGTAAGTGTCTATTCCAGTGAAGACAAACCTCTGCCCTTTCCATGATGGAAGAGGTCCAATATAATCAACCTGCCATCAGGTAGCTGGCTGATAACCCCGAGGAATGGTACCATATTGGGGGCTCAGTGTTGGTCTCTACTGCTGGCAAATTGGGCACTCAGCAGTGGCCATAGCCAGGTCAGCCTTGGTGAGCGGAAGTCCATGTTGCTGAGCCCACGTGTAACATCCATTCCTGCCACCATGGCCACTTTGTTCATGGGCCCACTGGGTGATGACATGGATGGCTGGGGAAAGAGGCTGAGTGGTGACAACAGAACGGGTCATATTATCCACTCGATTATTAAAATCCTCCTCTGCTGAGGTCACCCGCTGGTGAACATTCACATAGGATACAAATATCTTCAGTTTCTGACCACTCAGAGAAGTCCATCCACATGCCTCTTCCCCACATACCTTTGTCACCAATTTTCCAATCATGCTTCTTCCAAGTTCCTTGACCATCCAGCCAAACTATTGCTACAGCTCATAAATCAGTATATAATCGCATATCTGGCCATTTCTACTTCCATAAAAAGTGCACAGCCAGGTTCACTGCTCAGAGTTCTGTCCAATGAGAAGATTTCCCTTCACTGCTGTCCTTTAGGGATGTCCTAGAAAGGAACTGTAGTGCTACAGCTGTTGACTTTCGGGTGGTGTCTGTATATCATGCAGAACCATCTGTGAACCATGCCCTACTCTTCTCTTCCTCTGTCAACTGATCATAGGGAACTCCCCATGAGGCCATTGGTACAGGCTGGGGGAGAGAAGGCAGGGTGGCAGGAGTGGAGACCATGGACTTTAGATCCACTTCTTCATGTAAATCACTTTTGCCTTCAGGACCTGCTCAAACCTGATCACATATATATACTACTTGCATTTGATGATGGAATGCTGCTGTGCGTGAGCCACTTTATAACTAGATGGGTCACAAAGCACCCAGTTCATAAGAGGCAGTTCAGGTCACATGGTGACTTGATGACCCATTGTCAAATGTTTGTTTCCACCAAAGCCCAGTAACAGGCCAAGAGCTGTCTCTCAAAAGGAGAGTAGTTATCTGAAGAAGATGGCAGGGACTTGCTCCAAAATCTTAGATGCCTCAGCTGTGATTCACCTATGGGGACCTGCCAAAGGCTCCAAACAGCATCCCTATCTGCCACTGACACCTCAACACCATTGGATCTGTTGGGTCATATGGCTTAAGTGGCAGAGCAGCTTGCACAGCAGCCTGGACCTGATGGAGAGTCTTCTGTTGAGAACCCAACTCAAAGCTGGCAGCCTTTCGGGGTCACTCAATAAATGGGCCAGAGGAACACACCGAAATGAGGAATGTGTTGCATCCAAAATCCAAATAGACCCACTAGGCGCTGTGCCTCTTTCTTGGTTGTAGGAGGGGCCAAATGCAGCAACTTATCCTTTACCTTAGAAGCAATATCTCAACAGGTGCCACACCACTGGACCCCTAGAAATTTTACTAAGGTAAGGTCCCTGAATTTTAATTGGATTTTTTTCCCATCCCCTAGCCTGCAAATGGCTTACCAGTAAGTCCAGTGTGTTTGCTACTTCTTGCTCATTGGGTCCAATCAACATAATGTCATCAATGTAATAGGCCAGGGTGATATCTTGTGGAAGTGAAGAGTGATCAGGGTCTCTCCAAATAAGATGACACAAAGCCGGAGAGTTGATATACCCCTGAGGTAGGACAGTAAAGGTATATTGCTGGCCTTGCCAGCTGAAGGCAAATTGCTTCTGGTGGGCCTGAGATGGGAATGGAGAAAAAGGCATTTACCAGGTCAATGGCTCCATACCAGATACCAGGAGATGTGTTAATTTCCTCAAGCAATGAAACCACATCTGGTACAGCAGCTGCAATTAGAGTCACCCTGTGGTTAAGCTTATGATAATCCACTGTCATTTTCCAAGATCCATCTGTCTTCTGCACAGGCCAAATGGGAGAGTTGAATGGGGATGTGGTGGAAATCATCACTCCTGCGTCTTTCAAGTTCTTGATGGTGGCACTAATCTCTGCAATCCCTCCAGGGATGTGATATTGTTTTTGATTTACCCACCTATTCTTCTAGGTGGAGGTAGCTCTGATGGCTTCCATTTGGCCTTTCCCACCATAGTAGCCCTCACCCTCCCAGTCAGGGAGCCAATGTGGTCTTTCTGCCAGCTGCTAAGTATGTCTGTGCCAATTATGCATTCTAGCACTGAGGAAATGACTACAGGATGAGTCCAGGGACCCACTGGACCCACTGTAAGTTGGACCTGAGCTAAAACTCTTTTGATTACCTGACCTCAATAAGCCCTTACTTTAACTGGAACACCACAATGACGTTTTGGGTCCCCTGGAATCAACGTCAGCTCAGAGCCAGTGTCCAGTAGTCCCCAAAATGTTTGATAATTTCCCTTTCCCCAATGTACAGTTACACTGGTAAAAAGCTGGAAGTCTCCTTGGTGAAGGAAGGGAGAAAGATTAACAGCATAAATTGTCAGTAATGTAGTTGGTTCCTTCCTCAAAGGGACCTGGCCTCCCCTTCATTCAAGAGGTTCTAGGTCTGTAAACTGGCACAAATCTAAAAATTCATTGAGGAGCCATGATTCTCTGTTTTTAAAATTCAAATTAGTCTTTTGTCCATTCGACCCAGAAGTTTTCTGCTTACATAAATTAAGTAGAAATGCAGTATGCTTCCTATCAATTTCACTTCTAAGGACACTGTGATTAATTAGCCAATGCCAGAGCTCAACATGAGTCAGATTATTCTGATTGCCACTTTGCCTCTGCTGTCCATTACAGTAGCTACACCCACTTTGCTTTTGATGGTTGAGTGCTGCCACTTCACCCCTGCCACCTCAGGATCCAATTATTCCCATTTTATTTAAATTTCGTAGTTGAGTGACTGACTGCAGCTCCCACTGTTAGCTCTGACATACAGAGAAGAGCAATTACAGGGCTCTTCAAAGATGCAGGTGCTGTCCTCACAAATCTATTGCACAAGGCATTGGCCAAGGGTATATCTTCTGGGCCCTTCCAGTTCAGATGATAGGTCTAAAATGACTAATCTACTCCACAATCCCAATCTCCTTAAGCCTTTGGATCCCTTCCTCTACATTAAACTAAGAGATATCAGGCATTTCCAGCTCGCTCACATGGGCCATCTATTAATCCATATATCAGCTAACCAAGAAAATAAACTATTAGAACCTTTTGTAACTCCCTCAACTGCAACATTAAATGCAGATTCCCTACTTAGTGGGCCCAAATCAATAAATTCAGCCTGATCCAACCAACTTTGTGTTCCATCCACCGTTATCCCACACCCTTGATATCCATTCCCATGCCTGTTCTCAAGACTTATGCTCATATAAATTAGAAAACTCAAGCAGTTCTTTTCTAGTGTAGCATACCTCCTCATGGGTCACACTCTGAACCTTACCTCTAGGGCCCCACCAGTACTTTAGTCTAGTTATAGGTCTCGAAGCAAACGGGGGTGTTGAGGGTGGCTCCGGAGGAGAATCAACATTATCTTGCCTGGCGACTTCCTTGGTGGAGGCCATCACTGTTGTCTCAGGCAGTGCAGAGTTTATCTCCTCAAACAAATGTGTAAAGGCTGATGGCAGCATGGGTTGGGGAGGGGATGTTGCCACTATTGGGGATGGGGAAGCTATTTCTTCTAGCAAAAAAGGTTCATCAGAGTTTACAAACTCAGTGTCTCCAACATCATCAGGGTCCTCCCACACGTCACCATTACAAGTTGCACATTCCCATTCTTTTCCAATCAATCCCCTGACTTTAACAGGAGACACCTGGTGAGGCTGTGCATGCACCTTTCATTGCATGTCAACCACTCTCATGATAAGAGCTGTGTCTGCTTTTCCACAATTTCAGATCTTTCTCTCCAGAAGATAAGACTCTCACTCAGGGCATTCTTAGCAGATTTGAGGCTGAGTATCCACTTCTGAATCCAGGAGTTAGAATTCCTGAGTTCCTCATTTTTTTTCATCATTGTGTCCACTGAACTTAAGAGAAACCAACCTCCTTCATTATGTTTCTTGGTTCTCCAGATATGGACAAAGGTATTATACAGAGTCACTAAACTCCTTGCCTCTCATGAGCAGAGAATCAAGAGTGTCAAATGCATTTATTCTACATAACTCTCTAAACAGTTTACACCAAGGACTCTCAGTGGTCTCCGTATGTTAGAAGTAGGGTCCTTAGAGTTTTTGTGTCTAATCATATTAAGCAGCCAAGTCCAGAAACCCCAAAAACAATGAAGGGACTTCATCCTTAATAATCTGCTCCCCTAGAACCACTTCTGCTACCAAAATCTGTATTAGTCAGGGTTCTCTAGGACAGAACTAATAGGATATATAGATACAGATATAGATGTAGATATACATAGATATATAGACATAGATATATGTAAAGAGGAATTTATTAAGTATTAACTCACATGGTCACAGGTCTCACAATAGGCCATCTGCAAGCTGAGCAGCAAGGAGAGCCAGTCCAAGTCTCAAAACTGAAGAACTTGGAATCCAGTGTTTGAGGGCAAGAAGCATTCAGCATGGGAGAAAGATGTAGGCCGAGCGGCTAGGCCAGCCTCTCTTTTCACATTTTTCTATCTGCTTTATATTCTAGCTGCACTGGCAGCTGATTAGATGGTGCCCGCCCAGATTGAGGGTGGGTCTGCCTGTCCCAGCCCCCTGACTGAAATGTTAATCTCCTTTGGCAACACCCTCACAGACCCACCCAGGGTCAATACTTTGCATCCTTCAATCCAATCAAGTTGACACTCAGTATTAACCATCACCATGGGGTAAAGGTTGCTAGGCTTGCTGCTGATAGGTTGGGGCAGAGATGAAATCATAGGTGGTGAAACTGTCTTCCTGCCTGCTGAATCACTTCTGGGTCAGGCCACAGGAGTGAGGTTGACAGGTCCAAGTGGAACCATTAGGTCCAGGTGGAACCATGGGTGTCAGACATGCAAAAAACCTGAATAGATATCTCAGAAGGCCGATATACAATAGTGGTGTTATCTGCAGGTGTGACTGGGAATTGTTTATGTGTATAGGCATAATTTAGATTCCTCTCCTCCCCAGTCTGAGGGGCTTTTATTAGGTTTACAAAGGTAGTCGACTTTTGTAGAATGGCTAGTATCATTTAAACTACAATCTAAATGTCTCTCAAAGTTAGCTTGCCCCAAAACCTCAGGACAACTTAGAAAAAGGCAAGACGGGAGGTGGGTTAAATCAGATCTCTTTCACTGTCATAATTTTCTCACTGTTATAATTTTTTTGCAAAGATTGTTTTATGCTTATTTAGCAACCCCTTAAAATAGCTTACAGGTAGGATGTTGACCAGGTCTTCACTACCTGCCTGTTTTCTATTGTATTATTTTCATCATTCTAAGATATCATTTTTGAAGTCCTTCAGCTTTTTTGAGCTTTTGGAAAATATATTCATAACTTTTATGTTATAAAAAGTTATCTGTAAGTTCTAAAACCTATTATAATAACTGGGAAATTTAAATTAAAATTTTATTGCACCTGAATTCACCTTTGTTGCATTGCTTTTCTCTGGTTAAAGGAAGCAATTTATACATGGCATTTTCCAACTTCAGTTTCAAGAGAATACTTTGATATTTTAAAATATTTCAATCCTAAGCAAAATACTGTTGCACAATTCTTCTTAATGTATGTAGAAAATAATATTCATACTTTTGTTAGCCTATTATATTACAGAAATATCCAGAAAACAACAACAAAAAATAATGTGGAAGGCAGCAAATTTTAACTCTGGGGATCATTTGTCAAGTCATTGTGTAAAGTGCTCTTGAATGTAAATTATTGTCATTGTCAAGTAAATTCAGATAATTTGAGTCGAAGATAAAACAATTAAAACAAACTGCTCTTCATTTGATGAAAGATTTTCTTGTATCGGTAGGACTGAGGTGTTCATTCTTTTGCTATTTGTCTTTTAGGGTTTGCTTTCAGCTCCTATAGCTTGGTCTTAATCTGTTGCCTCAATATGGAAGTTTGCTTCTTCCCGATGGAGCAGGAGAATTTCTCCTGGCTTCTACAGTCTGTCTTCAAGAAGGGTCTAGATTGTATTTAAGAGTTCACCTCAATAGGTCACATCCACTCAGGATTAATTTATGGTCAATTGATTTGAGATTTTAGTTCTTTCCTCACATTCCTTTCTGCTTTGGCATGTATTATAAGATAACCTCACGAAGGAAGCGGAATGCATTGTATTCGTGTTCCCACCCACACTCCAGAAGAGAGAGAATGGGGCACCTAACCAGAGGGTAGAAACCTTGGCAGGATGGCATTTCAGAATTCTCTCTACCACAGATTCCTTGCCTTAATATTAAATCCACAGTTCATGAAAAATCTCTTTTCTTAGACTCATAGACCCTTATTAAAGCTAATAGAACCAAAATAACTTAAATATATGCATCAACTTTTTCCTTTTTTAAAAAAAGAAAATGCTAGGAATATCCCTCAGAGCTCTCTATTGGCAACTCTATAGTTTCTAAATTATATTTCCTGTTATAATAGTATTTTGATCATATGTTTTAATTGTAGTTTAGTTCTTGAGTCAGTTTTTTTCATTTTAGTAACCCCCAAAATATATTTAAATGAAAATTTGCACTTAATTTTAAATAAGGACCAGAGTCTAAAACCAATCGCCTGCCCGGCATAAGGACATCTAGCTTAGTTTCTGTACTGAAAACAATAAAAATATCATAAATATCATAAAGCAAAACTAGACAGAATGTATGATCATACCCCAAATAATGAAAATATGGTACAGCAGGAATACATTAAATTCAAAAGAATGAAACTTAGAGGGTTGTACATGCATTAAATGAATATTACTGAAAGTGTTACCTAAAATGATTTATTGGTATCATTTTAGATAGCTTTTACAATTTTATTAAAATTCCATTATAAACCAGGAAGTACTACAGACTTGACATTTCATTATTGACAAGCCAAATTACGTTTTTTTGGATATATTGTAATGTGTCTACAAATAATAAGGGAAAATATGAGGTCAATGCAATTATGCATAAAATCTGCCTTAATTATCATGATGGACTAAGTACCACCAGGATTTACTAGATAATTATTTTATTCTCACTTAAATCTTCACATGAGAATGCAATCTGAGGTCTTTTCTTCCTTATAGAATGCTACCATAACAAGATTTAAAACTGTGTGTTTGTGTGTGTTGTGTGTGTGCATACGCGTGTTTTATCCACGGTATTGAAATATAAAAGAAAATGTCCAAATTTTAATCTGTATTATACATAATATTTCACTTGATTACTGATGCTCAAGATTTATTTGAGGACTTCATATTAATTACACAAATTTTTGTGGAACACCAATTATGGTTGATACAGAAGAGATAAAGTGATAAATTCACAGCCCAGTCCTCACATTAATCTACTCCACAAGTTTATCTAAGAAATTATTAGAGACCCTATTAAAGCTGAATTTTACAATTGCGTGGTAGTCACTTTCTGCCCTCACATTCCTTGATGGAATATAATATAGCAAGAAATGATAAAACTAAGGGCAATCCTGTTCTGGGTTTTTGTTTGTTTGTTTGTTTGTTTAACCTTGAATGCAAAATTCACACCAATTAACTAAAGACTACATGTACAAACACTTATAAGTTTGAAAAGTAACAATATGAATTCTTTTGTGTAACTTGTTTTGTTTTGTTTTTGAGAAAGAGTCTCACTTTGTTGCCCAGGAGTGCAGTGGCACGATCACGATCACGATCACGATCACAGCTCACTGCAGCCCTCCAGGCTCAGGTGATTCTCCCACTTTAGCTTCATGTGATATATTCATGCTTGTTCTTACGGGGTTAATGGATGAAGTCTTAAACTCTTAAAATTATAATGCAGGAAGATACCAGGAACATAAAGGACCAACTATATTTATTAATTGAATGGTCACCAGAAGCTAAGGATTTATAAGACAAATATTTGCAAATATTAAGGATCTTTTGGCATAGGGTTAAATGTTGACTTTATTTTTCTCACATTTTATAGTTTCGTTGAAAAGACTAGTTTTAGATTAATGAAAGAATAAAAGTAGTGCCGTATCTTTTGTTTCTCTTTGAAAATTAGGAAGATTTTGGACTATCTGGGGCTTTAAAAATTTTTTAAGTGGTATGTCACCTATGCTATGCAAGAGTACAGTGATCAGTCAAATGCCTTACAAAGTTTAGTTTTATGATTTTGTTGCAATAAATTACAATTACAATTGTTTAAAAATTTCATATGTAGTTATTAGAGGAAATATACGTGATTGTATGATGTAGAGAATTTACATGAGAGAAACACTCAAACGTTATATTTTTGTGAAAGTTACTATTATGTCTTGTCCATTTTGTAGATATACTGTCCTTTAAATTGTGCTTTTCATTCATTCTTTGAGTAGCTATTAGAAGCCTTTTCATCCAGGCATGAAAACATGTATGTACATTAATTGCATTTGAAAGTTTTGTGTGCATTTGTGTGTGTGTGTGTGTGTGTGTGTGTGTATTTGATGCAATGTTTTTTGGACATCTATTTTTGACAACCTCAGTATGAAGAAATCTGGCTGGGATCTTAGCTGTACTATTTTTGTGAACAAAAACAACAGTGGTGTGTCATTTCCAAATATTTCTTTCCAGTCGTGAACTTCTGTCTGTTTCTGAGATGATAATGCTATGATGGCATCAGATGACAAGTAAAAAATGTAGGACTTTTTTTTTCAATCTCCTAATTTAGTTCAACCAAGCATTTGCTCTTTCTTTCTTAAAATTACTGGGCTGTAACATGAGTATATTGCCAGTGTATCTGTGATATCCCTGTATCAACATAGAACAACTCAGTCAAAAGCCCAAACATAAAGACACACAGGAGTTGTCCGGGTGCGGTGGCTCATGCCTGTAATCCCAGCCCTTTGGGAGCCCGAGGTGGGCGGATCACCTGAGGTTGGGAGTTCGAGATCAGCCTAACCAACATGGAGAAACCCCGTCTCTACTAAAAATACAAAAAATTAGCCGGGCATGGTGGTGCATGCCTGTAATCCCAGCTACTCAGGAGGCTGAGGCAGGAGAATCACTTGAACCTGGGAGGCGAAGGTTGTGGTGAGCCGAGATAGCGCCATTGCACTCGAGCCTGGGCAACAAGAGTGAAACTCCATTGCAAAACAAAAACAAAAAAACAAAAAAAGCAAAAAACACACAAGAGTCACATCTCAACATTTTGAAATAAAATAAAATAGGCTTATTGTAGTCCTGAGACTTTTTAATCATGTGTCTCAAATAATCTAATCTGTTGGCCATCTCTAACAAGTAGCCTTTCTCTTAAAAACACAATCCCATTACACATTTTAACAAAAAGCTATGGATTTGTGGCAATTCAAACATAAGTAAGGATATTAAAAATACTTCGCCCTTAATCAGTCTCCTGGGAACATTAAAAACCAGAGGAATTTTTGAGTTCACATGATGGCCTGCCTGGTAGTGACTTCACAAGTGATTCTTCTATAAGGAATAAAAATGTTGTCTACATGGGAAGTTTAAATTCAGTTGACAACTATGGAGTTCAAAATAGAACATACCATACAGGTCTGGGCTGTAGCAACTAACTCACACGATCCCCCTTCACTCCTCTATGTAACACCCACCAGAGTTGGTGGCAGCTGCAGAAATTTCCTTTGGTAATATTCATTTGAGAATATCTCAAAACTATTTTCGATGTTGTAGATATTTAAGACATAATTCATTATGATAAAATGTCACAAAAAATTTATAAACTCAGAGAAAACCATGTGCGTAAGGCTATGAGCACGTTGATTTGAATTTCTAGGTGAACCTCTTTGTAAAGAGCATTCATTTTCCATAGGCTCAGAACCTATTTATACTTCTTAATGAGAACAAGTTTTCTAATAAAAACAAGTTTAAAAAAACCTTTTAACCTGGAGTATGGGAAGAAAGAAGATTAGAGATTTGTTAATGAACCTTTAAAAAAGTTCAGTAAACAACATAGGTAATTACTCTGTTGGGAAATGCTGCTTAATTAAAACACAGTCATTCTAACAGCATACACACCTGCTGCTACCAGGACTTATTTTTTTCCTAAAATAACTTAATTCCTGAACAAGTTTCTCTCTTAGTTCATTTCTTTGGAGAATCTTCATCTCAGTTTTCTGCCTTAATCTTGTGTTGTATCTCATAGTATTAATAATTATAGTAGAATACTACAGAGCAAAAAAAGGTTTTGAAAAGATCGATGTCCCTCTAGCGTTTATAGCCCTGTGTTTCACTTTGGAAGATAGAAATTATTTTCTTCTCAAAACATTCTAAACACAGTCATAACAGGTCTGAGATAGTAGTTTTTTTATTAGGAACTCAAAGCATGACCTCGGAGTTGTAGCCAAAATAGGAGAACTATCATATAAACACTGACCAGCTAACACAGTATTATCAGGAAATTTTATTCAAAGACTATTTCCCCACATATATTCAATACTGTCTTATCCACGCCTACAAAAAATAATACAAATGCTTAATTAAGTAGGCCTAAGTTATAATAAAAATAATAGTAATTAATAATATATAGACAGCATACTATGTGCCAGGCTCTGCAATATGCTAAACATTTGGCATTGATATGACCACACTCATGTGTGCATTTTGTTAATCTATCAATAGGATCCAAAACATTGTATTTTTCCACATGAGGTTCAAAATCTCTTATCCACACTTGGCCACTTGAAGACAACCCTAGGAGCAATGCTGTTAACAAATGTGTTTATTTTTTACATTAGAAAAGGATATTTAACATTTAATATGGTGAAAAACAAATAATGAAACAAAAATGATATCTCCAACAACATGAACAAAAACGATATCTTGAGATATTTTTGCTGATTTGAAAAATAGCAAGACATATAAGTTGTTAGATACATAGAACATTCATGTCAGAATATTTAAACAGTACTAAGTTGTTCAAAATAGACATCATTATTACAGTATCATAATGCTGATGTGATTACCATTAATAATGTTGTGTGTGTGTGTGATTGTATTATGGAAAATATATATATATTCACGAATATTCATTATTTCATCTATTTGTATCTCTTTTCAAACAGATCTACATCACCCATTTAATGACTGCCTACTATTACATCATAGGCATTATACTCACTAAATATACTACAAA
This sequence comes from Homo sapiens, assembly GCF_000001405.40. NCBI lineage: Eukaryota > Metazoa > Chordata > Mammalia > Primates > Hominidae > Homo > Homo sapiens. Next base: position 57,128,421 of record NC_000010.11, on the reverse strand, counting down.
TTAAATTTATTTAATCTTCAAAATCAATCTAGAAAGTATCATCTTTATTTCCATTTTACAGATGAAGGAATTAAAGCAGAGATTGAATGACTTGTCAAATCTGACCTTGCAAGTAATTAGTGGGGTCTGGTTAAAAATAAGTCAGCCTAACACCAGAGACCATGCTTTTAATCTCTATTCTGTCTTTTAGAAGGTATAAATGGCTATAAACTGGTTCATTTACTTTTTGGGGATCAACTGCAAGATTACATCTGAGGATTGTAATAAAATCTAGTTTTATTTCTTAAAAATAGCTAATAAATGCACTGATCATCAGATACATATCATACACACATTGTTTGGTTAAAATGAAAAAAAATGATGAGACAAAATCAGACACATATTAAGAAATTTTGGTGGGCTTTGGTTACTCACACCTGCAATCCCCACACTTTGGGAGGCCGAAGTGAGCAGATCACTTGAGTCCAGAAGTTCCATACCAGCCTGGGTAACATGGCAAAACTCCATTTCTAAAAATAAATAAATAAATAAAATATAGCCAGACGTGGTGGCATGCACCTCAGGGGTGGATGTTGCAGTGAACCAAGGCAACAGAGTGAGACCCCCATCTAAGAAAGAGAGAGAGAGAGATGAAAGAAAGAAAGAAAGAAAGATGGAAGGAAGGAAGGAAGGAAGGAAGGAACCAAGGCAAGGAAGGAAGGAAGGAAGGAAGGAAAGAAAGAAAGAAAGAAAGAAAGAAAGAAAGAAAGAAAGAAAGAAAGAAAGAAAGACAGAAAGAAAGAAAGAGAAAGAAAGATGGAAGGAAGGAAGGAAGGATGGAAGGAAAAAGAAAATAAATTTTATAAATGTTGTAAGTGCTGTGGTAAAGATACGTTAATAGCACACAAAGAAGCATAATTTAATTTAGCTCTGAATTTCAGAGGGAACCTTCTGGAGGAGATAGCACTTTTGATCGACTTCATAGACAAGTAGGCCATTAGTAAAGCCATGAAATGCAGAACTATAGAGGAGTAAAAAGCAAGAGTGAAGGAAATAGACTTGGAACTTCATATGTACAAGCAGCATAGTAGAAGTTTTATGCAAATAAGGAGTGCACTTAAAGATGGGAAGAAAGATAAATGAACCTGAATAAATCAGGAATTACTATAAATTATATAGCATAGAATGTTCCTGTTCATCAGTAATTGTGTGTTCCTTTACATCACATCTCCTTTTCCAGGCCAAGGTACTTAAGAACCTAGTCCTACTCCATCTCTCTCTTTTTCTTCAATGGACATTGCTATACTGTGGCTCTAACTTCGGAACCACGTGGTCTAGCTGGCATAACAAAAAGAATGATAATCTGTCTGACGTACATTGAACTATGATATGATGTAAATGTTAATTATGCAAAAAATATAATATTTCAGGGACTGTATGTTGTAGCAGGATAACCTACCAACTGTATTGTCATGATGAATATAAATTGAGACATTACTGTCTTATTTTCTTCATTATTCATAAGGTATCTCTGCATCATACCTGCTGTTTCCAGCTCTCTAAAGCTGTACAAATCCAGTACCGTGACTTAAGTCTTCACTCCCCAGTAAATAAATGTTTGATATTTCACTGTTCAAGTTTCTATCCTTTTAGGGCTTGTTTTCTGTTGATAAATCATTGATGGCTTATGTGTAACCCTTCCCAAATGAGGATTTACCCAAACTTTCTGGAAATAGCACCTATCTTAACTGAAAAGGAATGATAATGTAGATGGTGAGATGTCAAAATGAGAAAATACTAGGATGCTGGAACAGAAAGTAGGATACTAGTCATCAGACTGCATGGCTCCTAATCTGCCTACACACCTGCATGATACAGCAGATTACAAGATGACAAGCAAGGAGTGATTATATCTCCCTGGAGGAGGGAAGTAAAGGCTTCATGAAGGAGGTAATGCTTGAACTGAGTTTGAATATATTAGTAATTTCTTTCCCCAAACAGAAGAAGAAAGTCATTATAGACAGAAGGAACTGTGATAAAAGAAAGCAGTCTGGGGAAATTGTATCAGTTCTGTATAAACAGATTAACAGGTGACAATGGAGCTTGAATCAGAAATATAACTGAAGAGAATATGTGGGGCCAAGTATAATGCCATGTTATAAATATTTTTTAAATAGACATTGAAGAATTCTATTTGGTTTTATTTATTCTAATAAGTTTGAATAAATTCTCCAACTATGTTATATGCACTCCCTTAGGCCTTCAGGATAAAAGACCACAATGTCTGCCCTTGAGAAGCAGAAGCCTCGGCTGTTTCATAAACATATAAATGCACATAGGTTTTCCAAAGTCATCCTCACGTCAAGATGTAACATAAATGACCCCACACAGTGATATAAATAATACGCATATTTTCCCCTAGTCAGTCTAGGCATGAGTGGTCCAGAGATTGCTAGGACAGCTTGTCTCCATAGGATTATCTTGAGACTCCTCTTTAACTTTTCGCTTTGCCTTCCCCTAGGGAGTTAACTCAGGTGTTAGACTCAGAATCATGGTAGAGATTTGCTTCTAGCTCTCTATTTACATTCCAGTCTGCAGGAAGTAGGAAAGAAAAGAAGGTGAGGGGAGGCAACTACTTACACGAATATAATTGTTAATTGGTTACACCTAATTTTAAGAGACTATGTAAAGGAGCCTCCAGCTGGATTTCCATTATCACAGCTAAAATGCAGGATTCTCTTGCTGAAAGGAAGAAAATTAATAAATGAGTGGGTACTGAGAAAAAAATAGCATATCCTAATACAATGAGTGGATGAAGGAGAAGGAATTGTAAAGAATATCTCACAGATTTTGATGTGGGGGTATTGAGAATGGTAGTTTTCATTCAAATATATATTACAGGGAACAACTTAGAAGGAAAACAAGTTTTTATGACACATGAAGTTCAAAGTTATTGTGGGATAGTCTGGATATAGGTGTGGTCTTAGTCTACTTAGTTTTACCATCGCAGACTATCTGAGGCTGCCCAATTTATAATGAAAGATATTTATTTCACTCATAGTTCTGCAGGCTGGGAAGTTCGAGGGCATGGCACTGGCTTCTGGTTATCCTACTGTGTGATAACATGGTATAAGGTCAAATGGGAAGTAGACACATTCCAAGGGACCAAACACTGAAGGCATCCTTGTTTTCAAATAACCAGCTCTCATGGAAATTAACCCAGTCCCAGGAGAACTAGAACTCACTATTGCAAGAACAGCGTCAAGGCACCCATAAGGTAGCAGCCCCCATGAACCAAATGCCTTCTATTAGCCCCCACATCTTAAAGGCACCTCCCAACATCATTACATTGAAAATTAAATTTCAATGTGAGATCGGGCAGAGACAAACCATAGCAAAACCATAGCTGGTGTCAAGAAGTCAGTTGGACATATTATTTTAAATGTTTTATTATTAAGTTTACCTTGAGATATACATTTGAGATTCACAAGCATAGATATTTAATTAAGGATACTTAATCTACTTTTGAAGTAGATATCACATGCAAAAAAAGAAGTTGAAAGAGAAGAGAAAAAAGTTGAGATAAGGATCCTAGTGAACACAATATAAAAAATAAATCAACATATCCATTTAAAACTGATTGCAATTTTTCCTGCCATCTCCAAGATTACAATTTTTTCTGTCATCCCTAGATGTTTGCAAAATGAACACTAGGAGAAAAGCAAATCTGTATAACACTGCTCCCTTTTACTAGCAGAGACTGATGTGAAAAGAAAAAAAGTAAACAAAGAAATTTTAGTATATGTGTGCTGCCAGAGATGATACCCAGAGTTAAAAAATATTAATTTAGCAGAAATATTAATTTTTTAGATATGCAAATGTAGAACTAGAACTGAGGCTTAAGACTAAATTTGTCTTTAAAATAAAAAAGAAGAATTAAGTGTATGGGAGAAGAGAGCTTAAGGGAGAAAGTTTAAACAATATAGCAAAAGGCTGGAACTTATGAAGAAATGTTGGTGGAGATAAATGTCTTAAGACTATGTATTGGGAAATGAAACAAGATTTTAGAACAAGGACATCCAATAATATTCTATTTTAGGCTGGCTCGTTTGTTGCAATATTAAATCACTTTTGTAAGCCCTTCTACCAATTTAGTAAGGTATAGTACACATATTTTTGATATTTGTTATGAGAGGGGTTTGCTGGTAAGATAGCATGGCTAAGAGGCTAAATTTCTTGTGTAGGCTGGCACAGAGTAAAGAAAATGGAAATTAAAAAAATATGGGCCAATGTCATTGAGATTTCTCTGTAAACATTAAAGAAAATGACAGTAAGGATAAACTTCCCCAAGACTTTGCCGACTTTTAGAAACAGTGAAAAATTTCAACATATGATAATTCAAAATTTCCCTCTATTTTAAAGTCAGATGATTAGCAACCTTAGTTATACCCACAATGTTAGCTCTTCTTTGATATGTAACATATTCATAGGTTCTGAAGACTAGGACGTAGACATCTTTGGGAGACCATTATTGTGCCTATTGAAGAGTCAGAAACCATATTTTATTATAGATAAGTTTTTTTGTAGTCATTTCATAAATATTCTCTGGAATATCACATTTTCATGAGTGAGTCAGCATGACTAATTCAATGAGTTAGTGAAATTTTTATAAAAGTGAGTGTTAATATTAAAATCATCTTAGCAATTAACTTTCAAAGTAAGTTTCTGATAAGAATTAATTGCCAAAGAGCCAGATATTTTGATGGAAGTTGTCTCAGACATAAAAAGATAGCTAAGCTGTAGAAAACAGAAATGGAAAATTTTAAAATTCAGGAGTATTTCATAACCACATTTATGGTTACATGTCACCAAGTTCAGGTAACTAATTTACTCATTGGAAAAGGCACTGAAAATACCTTTAAAATATTAAAAATAGCATAATGTAGCACAATTTGAAGGCAAAGTACATATTGAAATGATATTTCAAAAAATTACACTCTTAAAAATATATTTTTGGATGTTTATGTAAAATGATGGTGATAACTTGATGTTTTCTACCTCTGTGGAATGCATATGAAACCTAAGATAGTGGATATTACAAATGTAGTATAAGAAAACTCAACACATGCTTATTCTAGATTTCAGATTATTGATGATCTTCACTGCAAACTCTAAAGCCTCCTCTGTTTGGGCAATAAGAGAGCAGGTGTATGTGATATGAGTCTCCTTCCTAGATAATACATTGCTGCAGCTTGCATGTGTAGAAATTGAGCTAAGTGTCATTCTGCCCAGTGCTGAGATAACAGATAGGGTGGTAGCAGTCATACTGGCATCTGCATAACTAACTCACTTGGTCCTGCCATAGCCAATCAAAAATATTGAATTTTCCACCAATGAGAACTCAAAGTTTCTTTTGAATTACCTGATCCAGTGGCACAGATTCTATTAATATCATTGGAATCCCCGAAACATTTTACAGTTAGAAACTCAAAGTTAGTGTATTACCCCATTTAAGAGACAAGAAAACTAAATGCCAGAAAGATCAAGGAGGCAAAATTACTCCGACAGATGGATTCACACATGAGTTAACCTAAAATCTGTGTCCCTCAATATGAACTATACTAATAATGAGACCACTATCCTGATGATGAGACCAAAAACATCCATGTGAACAAAAGACAGTAAAAGTCTTGTAGGTAAGTTCACAGGTATATTTCCCTCTCATCTACCTCTACTTCATATTAATCTGCCAATATAGTCAAACAAACAAGCAGGGCCAACATGCTAATTAAAAGCCATTAAGTTAACAAAACTATAATTCTGCATCCAGTAGAATAAACTCTTCAGTGTTTCATGCAGGATTTCTGACATGAAGATGTCTAAATTCTGTAAGCATGAACTCTGTTTCCAGAGTGTAGATTTTTTTATTTTATATGAGTACAGTTATCAATTGGGTCATAATTCAGATCTGGGAGATATTGTTAATGGCGAACTTGTTTCTGACTGATAGGACCTTCGATACAGAAGTATATACATCTTTGCCACAGAAAGTGGTAGCATTCAGCTCCACAGAATAATACTGTTAAAGGATTCCTGATGCAGCTAAGTGTGGTGTTTCACACCTGTGGTCTTAGCTATCCTAGCTACTTGGGAGGATGAGGTGGGAGAAAATATTCAGCACAGGATTTCGAGGTTGCAGTCAGCTATGACTGGGCCACTGCAGTCCAGCCTGGATAACAGAGTGAGACCCTGAGTCAAAAATAAAAATAAAAATAGAAAAATAAAGGAAAAGAAAAGGATGCCTGATGCTGAAATAAAATAATATTCAACTCATTTTCACTATTAACACTTAAAATGAGCTCAGGCTATACAAATAATGTCTTCTGCTTAATTACTTTTCCAGAACTGTAGGGTACTTAGGCATTCTCACTCTAAATACAATTACATGCATGTATTTTCAGCATTTATGTTAAAGATGATTCTAATGTCTTTTCCCAGTATCTTTAGGCAATAAAAGTGATGGCATCAGTCTGTTGTCTATTTAAATGTTTTCTGTAAGCTCTATAACACACTCAAAGATACAGATAGATTTCTTTCGTTTGGTCTAATTCTTTTTTAATTCTTTTTTTATTTACTTGTTTGTGTTAATTTTTAATATTTGTAAAAAGGAATAACATTTGAAAACCACTATTTATCATGAATATTTCCTTTTTCTGTAGTAAGTTTTCTCAGTTACTTATTTCACATTTCTAAACAAGACAAGAGGTAAACATTGTTGGTTTCATTACTGATGATGGGAACTTCGATTAATTGGTTAAAACGGTGAGCTCCCAGCTTCTTCATTGTATAGTTACCATTTTTAATTTGGGATTAATAAGTAATATGGGGAGAGATATTTCATATCTACACAAATGTACTTCAATTTATCAAACTGTAATCCTCTAGGTTTAGCATTATTGATTTTTTTCATGAATCTATTTTTAATATGATGGCAAAATAGTATTTTCTAAGTCTGTTATTCCTTTTATGTTTATTAGCTGGCATTCTACTGTGAGCAAGAGCATTCTCTATTTTTTAGTTAATTAATTATAGTCAGTACTAATTCATGGTTATAATTTTAACAAATGATATTCCATCACCATATGAATTTTGATACACAAATTTTATTAGATTTACATGGTAGAATTCCTTCCAGATTTTTCTTTTCTCATTTTCATGTAGATATATAACTACTTTCCCAACTGTTTAAAATCTGGCTCCAATTATTCTCATAATAATTTCTCACTTGCTCAACTTTGAAATTTAAAGAAAGTAGTTTTAGATTGGCTAACCTATACGAGCTAAAAACAATAACCATAATTCAATAACTGTGTACATTTGTTTGTCTTTAAATTGAGAGTATATATTACACAGTACTATATTCAAAATCATTTTTTTAAATAAAACCAATCACTGCTAGTCAAATGTGACTTTAACACATGTATCACTCGACTAACTGAAGGCGAAATCTGGAATAGAGATTATGAAGTAAAAGAAAAGCTGTTCCAAAAAATAAGAATAAAAAGACTCAGGCTGGGTGCGGTGGCTCACGCCTGTAATCCCAGCACTTTGGGAGGCTCAGGTGGGTAGACCACAAGGTCAGGAGATCGAGACCATCCTGGCTAACATGGTGAAACCCTGTCTCTACTGAAAATACACAAAAAATTAGCTGGGCTTGGTGGCGGGCGCCTGTAGTACCAGCTACTCGTGAGGCTGAGGCAGGAGAATGGCATGAACCCAGAAGGTGGAGCTTGCAGTGAGCCGAGATCGCACCACTGCACTCTAGCCTAGGCGACAGAGCGAGACTCCGTCTCAAAAAAAAAAAAAAATTAAAAAAATAAAAATAAAAAGACTCATGCCCCTCGTTGAAAGGAAGAAACAACTTTTGCTTTGTTTTACTGGTTAATTTCTCTCTTCAAAGTTCAGTAGCTCCAGTGAATTGTGTTTGCATGAAAATTAAGGCAGGAATCCCCACTCTTACCTATTTGTAAAGATAAATGACAATTTTCTTGATTACATGCTTTGGAATCAATAAACACTAAAAACAAAATTTGTCCCCACTCTTTACAGCAGGGCAACTGTGGCTACAACTCAGTGCTCTATAGCCTACCATTCGATCCTTTTGATACACTTGATAGATTACTTGTTGCTTTCACAAGAACTCTGATTTTAATATTCCAAACAGCAAGTATTGTAATCTAGAAAGTCAAAGAGAGTCTTAGTGTCCTGTAAGTCACACTCTGTGCTTGACAATCTTCAGACACAAATTCTCAAATGGAAAACAGGTATCTGTCACTCAATATTTTATCCTACACCCCCAGTAACTTTGAGTTTTTATGGTTGGTTATATAAATGGCATGCTGAGCCTAAGCTAATGTGTTTTCCATCACAAATGGCACAGCTGCTTTTTCCTCCTGCATTAAGCATTGAACAGGTGGTATTTTCTAACCATTTATGTTCATTCTGCCTGCTGTCATGAGCAAGAGAGATCATAGATGTGCTCAGCAGCTCTTGCAGTTAAATGGTGATGAACAGAACAGTGAGAGTCTGGTTTGACCATGGAAGCATCTCATTTGAAAACCATGGCAACAGAAGTGTGTGAGATGGGGCTGGGCTTTGTCTTCTGTCATCCAGAAATAATTTAATGTCATCTAGCCATCGTTTGTTTTGGCTCTGGTTATTGTTGAGAATAGTGAATGGGAGCAGGAATATCCCTTCCCTAGAAGTGATGGGTTGTTTTATCTGGTTACAAGAGCAAAGTTTGTCATCAATAATTTACAAATACTTTATCTTTTTTAAAAACATTCCTTAGAATAGTAAGAAAGGTGCAGAGAAGTGGCCATGATACATCCACACTCAGAATGTCAGCTAACAGTGTCTCCATTTGTAACGTGGACTACATGCATAAAGAAAGACAAAGACTTTCTTGCTGAGACCAGCTCAGTCAGGGAGACCCTAACCCCGTGGCGCTAGAGGAATTAAAGACACACACACAGAAATATAGAGGTGTGAAGTGGGAGATCAGGGGTCTCACAGCCTTCAGAACTGAGAGCCCTGAACAGAGATTTACCCACGTATTTATTAACAGCAAGCCAGTCATTGGCATTGTTTCTATAGATATTAAATTAACTAAAAGTATCCCTTATGGGAAACAAAGGGATGGGCCAAATTAAAGGAATAGGTTGGCTAGTTAACTGCAGCAGGAGCATGTCCTTAAGGCACAGATCGCTCATGCTATTGTTTGTGGCTTAAGATGCGTTTAAGCAGTTTTCTGCCCTGGGCGGGCCAGGTGTTCCTTGCCCTCATTCTGGTAAACCCACAACCTTCCAGCATGGGTGCTATGGCCATTATGAACATGTTACAGAGCTGCAGAGATTTTGTTTATGGCCAGTTTTGGGGCCAGTTTATGGCCAGATTTTGGGGGGCTTGTTCCCAACACTTTCTCATCCAATCATATCAGCTAAAAAAATTGTTTCTTTATACCTTCTTTTTCATTTCAAGGGAAAATAATAAAAAAATAGATATCATACTCAAAGAAAAAGTATTGAATACTAGATCTTATGAAACATTTAAAAATATAATTTTGGGGAATAAAATTTCACATTGGTTTGATTTTTGACTTCTAATTTTAGGTTGATGACTATGTGTGAAGAAAAATGTAGATGAAAGCCACTGTAAATAAAATCAAGCTTGGGAAATAAATTGATGACTGTGAAATGATCATTGCCTTTCTGATTTTCTTTACTTTTGTTTCTTATATTCTGCTATACTAAATGTGTCATTTTGAATTTGTCTTGTTTCTATTAATAAAGATTTTACTGAAGGGAAATGATTATAAGTAAGACAGTCTACAACACTGGCTGGTCCAGGGAGGTGGAAAGCAGCATAATCAGAATAGGAGTGTAATTTCAGGCCAGGAAAGAGTCAAAGATACAAACTACAGAAGTAGTACAGAAATAAAGGAAAGTATAAGTCCAAAAATGGGAAGGTGATTGGGAAAATGTCAGAGAATGTGGTACAACAAAGAATAGGTAAAGAACTGTAGGAAGCCAGATGTCTGTGGCACTGCCTAGAGAAAGATCTAACAAAATAAAGCAAGTAGAAGGATTGGAGAGCAGTTAACTTTTGTGTTAGGTCTCATTGATTTATTATTTCATTATTCATTCATTCTGTAAAAAGCTATGTTATAATATTTGGTGTTTCAAATTTCTAAATTTACATATTGGCAACTATGTAAAAATAAAATTGGAATGGATTTTGCAAAATAGAGGAGGCTTTTAGGTTTCTATCTTATCTCTACTTTTTCAACTTGTACTAGGAATCCTCACAAAGAGTTACATGTTCCTGAAGGATACAGAGACTTACCTACATAATCATCCATTTCATTATTCGTATTTAAATGCTTTTCATTGATAGAATACCTTAATCTTACAGCCACAGGACAGAAAAGGAAATGGTTAAGAGTGAATGTATCTCACATCTCTTACAGAAAACATGGCCAATTTAAGATTTTTGGTAAGAGGCCAGGCTGTGAAGCCTGTTAAGAGCTTGATCTCAAAGCTGAGCCACTTAAAAGCTGGTTAATATTAAACAAGTTAGGACTCAACTTTTTCATCTCTAAATATGGCCTAATAATACCATATGCTTCATAGAATTGTAGGGGAGAAATGATTTCTTAGTAGAGCTCGTGGTACAGTGCCTGGACCATAGTACTTTTCTAGCACGATTTAGGTATATAATAATGTATTTATCATTATATTATTTTGAATCCTGGAAACTGAAGAACCTTTAGGAAATTTACATATTATTAGCAAAAGAAATTTAAGTGGTTTGAGAAGTGTTTTTATACTTTAAACTGGTGTTATCTTTTTTAGTTAATATACTTTTGAGTTAATACAATAAGCAGACACCAATCTATATATTTTATTTATTTGTATATTGTACATTGCACTAATTGTACTGTTACACTATTGTACCATTGCACTAATATATCTTTGCATATTAACAATACAAATAGAAATTAAGAAGGATGAGATACATATAATTACAGGCAAGCACTTATGAATAAAATTAATGTGGAGGTATTTTTTCATAAAACAAATTTACCACCATAACACTTTATGAGATTCAGAGTCTAATTAGTCCTCTTGATCCCCTAAGCACTGCTGTGACTAAAGGAGGTATAGCAAAGGCATACTAAGTAAACCGTTATTGAGCACAATTCATATAATCATTGACTTGGGGAATTTAGAGACCTTATGAAGAGAACAGAAATGTGTCCATGAATGTAGCCTTGGAAATTTTACTTCTAAACTCAGCTCATCACTGAGAAATATTTCCTTATCTTTCTGACTAGGCTGTGTTCTTCCTGTTTTAACCAGACCTTAACCATTAACATAGCACATACTTACACTCATTTACCTCCCTTCTACACAGGAAGTTTCTGAAAAATATGTAATTTTCTTTTGTTTTCTCAGTCCCTGGCATACATTCAGCAGATAACAGGTGACCAAAAATATGTGCACTTGAATATGATATATATATGGACACAAAGATCCAGACCATATGCTATAATAATTTGCTGAGGAATGTCAAACTCCCCAAAACCTTTAATGTGATATGCCCAATCATTTCAATTATTTTAAATGTCTACCTTTATTGGACATGAGTAAATAAAACATTTTAACACAGCTATAATTTTATAGTCATTAAGTTAACAAGGTAAAGCTGATGACCTTATCACACAACAGATTTTACAATTTCCAATTAACTTATTTTCTGGAGCTAAACTGATAGATAAAATAGAGACAATTTTCTACTTGGGAGTGCAGGCACTTTATCCTCCATTGCTCTTATAAACATTTTTTGATGCAACATTGACTATGTTAAAAATAAGTCTGAGATTAGACATTCAACTTCATTAACAATAGGAATGAGGTATTAGGAGAATAAGGTATCAACTGAATAGCCATTCAGACTTTACCCAAGGTGGGAAAATTATAAAAGAGAAGCTTCCTAAAATGCAAATGATGCTTTCTAGCAATGTGAAGGACATATGAGACCCAATATAAGCAGTTAACTAAGCCATGTTTTATTTATTTTAATTGCTAGCGGGATATCCATTAAATTGTAGAGTATAAACTGATGGTTGATAGAGTAAATAGGCCCAAAAGTGATGAAAACAATGTTCATCTTATAGTTCTGAGATGGACTCTGGACCACAAACAACCAGATGTTTAGGAGAAATAGCCTTTTTGGCGCTTCTAATCTTACCTAAAAATAAAATATATAATATTTTGTGCACTTTCCAAAGTTCAATGATTTGTTTTCACTATTACTAGAGGAAAGTGTTGAGATGTTAATGAGGATATGACATTTCAAAAGGCAATTGTGATATCAACAAAGAATATATAAACATTGTGGATAGCATTTTCCATACATATAATGCTAAGGCATTTTATATAAGAAATCAGAAAGTTTCTACCATGTATTTTTATTAATTTAGCACCTGTAAGAAATACCTAAGAGCAGGCGTTCCCAACCACAGAACCACAGGGGGTACTGATCCATGACCAGCTAGGAACTGGCTGGGATAGCAGGAGGTGAGTAGCAGAGGGCAAGCAAGCATTGCTGTCTGAGATCCTCCTCCTCTCACATCAGCAGTGGCATTAGATTCTCATAAAACTACAATCCCTATAGTGAACTATGCTGCAAGGGGTCTGGGTTGCAGGCTCCTTATGAGAATCTAACTAATGCCTGATGATCTGAGGTGGAACAGTTTCATCCTAAAGCCATCCCCCCACCACCCCTGTCCCTGGAAAAATTGTCTTCCACAAAAGAGGTCCCTGGTGCCAAAAGGTTGGGAAGCACTGCCTAAGATGATGTGGTAAAGTAAAATAAATAAATCTGTTCTTTCAAGAATATAAAATTTAATTAAAGGGGAAAAAACTGAAGTAACTATATAAAATTCACATGTTGAGAGGATGTGGGTTAGAGAGAGAGAATTAGGAAAGGCTTTCATGAAAAGTAGATTTTTTTTTAAACTTAAGACTAATAAGAATAGAACACAGGTAGGTGGAGAAAAGAAGGAAATTGAAGATAGAGTCAAAGGCATTTATAAAAGCAAGAAAGTACAATGAACTAGTTCTGTTTAGAGATTAATGAGTTTCATCAGCTTGCACGGGCCACTTGAAAGATTAGTGATAATTATGAAGTGTAGCTTTTGAAAGGGGTTGGATGAGACTACACCATAAGTTTTTAGATGGATGATTCAAATAAAAAAGGAAATTTTCTGAAAGAATGATTGTAATAATTAATTTTAATGAAAGCATGCTATGTTAACTTTACATGTTCTGTTATTTCATTTAATCCTCACAGCAACTCTATAAAGTAGATGCTACTATTGTCTCCATTTTGTATAAGAGGAAACAAGCAAGAGGAGGTGAATAGCCCATTGTTACACAGATAATTATATAGTTAGGATTCAAACCTGTACAGTCTGGCTCCAGCACCCATTTTCATAGCTCTTTAGCTATTCTGCCTATCAAGGGAGTTATTCTAGAAGTCTGTTTGATTTTAAAAAGAATAAGTCATGTTTCAATTAATGAAACCAATTTAAAACTAAAAGTGAGCCATTTTTAGTGGAAACAACCTCTGGCAAGAAGAAATGCCATTTTCTTCACTCTTCATTTTCCCAAAGCACCGCTGCAAAATTGTTCTGCCTGTTGGCATAATGGTAGAATATTCATTCATACTAAGAATGAATTAATTGAAAATAACTTTGATTTAGTTCAATTAAGCATAAATATAGGGTTCCTGTGTCAATGTAGAAATTTTCTTCCAGGTAGCACCTATTCTCTCCCAGTATTTAGATTAGAAAACGTAATATTGAAGTGATAATGAACTATTACCTGTAAAAGGATAATACTCTAGGACAAAGCCTGAATATGTTAAAAAACAATGAAAATAAGAAGTACAAGTTGTGTTCTGGAGAGAGCCTTTTGGTTTTTCTATGCCCAAAACATAATCTGTTAAACAAGTAAGAGCCTCCTGACATCTACATGTTAGGAGATGCAATCTCAAAGATACTCTAATGTAATGCAGTATGTAATTCTCATCAGTTGCCATATCATTAAAGGTTTAACTCAAAGCAGTGAATGCATTATTTAAACTAGTAGTTATAAGATTTTAATGGAGATAAAATTTCATTTTCTTTGTGTTTAGCTCTCGATTTATTAATTTGGTCTTGTATGCATTTCAAAATATTATATTCCATTTGGTCTTATCTTTTTTATAATGTAATATCTTGTTAAAGTATTTCTTTTCTTCTGTTTATTCCAAGACCCCAAGTAGAATAGGCATTTTTGTTTTTGCATTAATTTACTTCATTATCTTAATTTTCAGATTTTTAAAATTTCTCCATATCAAAATCTTTATTAGTTTTCCAATGTTGCTATAACAAATTGCTGTAAACCTACTGGCTTAAAACAACAGAAACGTATTATCTCACACTTTCTGTAGGTCAGAAGTCTGAGTGGACTCAACTGGATCTACTGCTTACAATCTAAAAATATTAAAATCAAGATTTTACAAGGACTACAATGGTTACCGGAGGCTGAGGGCAAGAATCAACTTCCAAGCTCATTCAAGTAGTTGACCATATTTATTTCCTTATGATTGTAGGGCAAATGTCCACATTTCCTTGTTAGCTGTCAGGTGAAGGCTGGTTTTGCTCCTGAATTCTGCCTGCATTCTTAAGCTTTCTATGTGTCTTCCTCCAGTGAGAGTGAGTTGAGAACATGCTTTAATTCTCTCTGACTTCAGCTCCTGTCTCATCTGACTAAAGGGAAAATAGGCAAATATAGTTACAATTGTCTAACAGACTAGAATTACTGGGCAAAATATTAGTAAGTATATAAGAGAAATTAATGATACTATCAACTACATTAATTTAATTGTGATTTATAGAACACGACATTCAAAATGGCAATTTACACACTTTTTTTTTTCAGGTGAAATGTTCACCAAGACAGACAAATGTAGATGGATTTCAAACTTTTTGGGACAGAGCAAAAGCAGTGTTTGGAAGAGAATGGACAATTTTGTATGGTTATATTAGAATCAAAGAAATAAGTGATATAAACATTAAAAGCTAATCTCCAAGTAATTAGAAGGAAAAATATAATAAATATAAGAAGATAAATTATTAAAAAATAGAAACAAGCAATACAGAAAGTTGGCAAAGACAAAACTTGTTTCTCTTTACTAGTCAATAAATGAAGGGGTAAGACAAAATTTACCAATATGGGTAATAAAATGAGGATGTCACTGTAGATTTTATAATGTTACTACAAATGTAACCAATTAGAAGTACAGAAGTTCTAATGAAATAATATTCTCAAGATGAAATAAAAAGTCTCGATAGCTCTGTATCTATTAAAGCAATTGATCTTACAATAAAAAATTTTCCACATAGGAATCTCCTAGACCAAGTAGTTTTAATAGTAAATTTTATCATTTATGAATAGCAGAAATAATACCAATCTTAAACAAAGTAATTCTGAAAAGAGAACAGAAAAGAACTCACCTTAACTAGCTTTAAGAGGCTAACA